>NC_000002.12:23267331-23418846 GCF_000001405.40 Homo sapiens
GTTTCTAATAGCATTTCCCTAATAACTAATGATGTTAAGTATATTTTCAGGTATTTTCCTGCCACTGATATATAACTTCTTTGGTGAAGAGTCGGTGAAAATCTTTTGTACTTTTTTTAATTGGGTCATTTGTCTTTTTACAATTGAGTGGGAGGAGTTTTCATATAATCTTCATAAAAGTCCTAAGTCAGATACATGTTTTGCAAATATTTTCTTGTAGCCTATGGCCTGCCTTTTCTTTTGAAGAATAAGAATTTGTAATTCTGATAATTTTCTATTTCTATTTGTGTTTGTAATTTGTTCTCTTTGGTACGTACTTAAGAAACCTTTGCCAAACCCAAGTATGAAGACTTTCTCCTATGTTATCTGTTAAAAGCTCTGTCATTTAACTCTTGCATTTAGGCCTATCATTCATTTCAAGTTTATTTTTGCATATGGCGTGAGGTAAAGATCAAAATTCATTTTTCTGCAAATTGCAATTGCTCTGGCATCATTTAATGGAGAAAAATCTCATTTTCCAACTAAACTGCATTGAGACCATAGGAAATCAGTTAATCAAAAATGTGTATATCTATTTCTCTACTCTTTCTTCTGTTCCATTTATCTAAGTATATATTTATGTCAATGCTATACTTTCTTGATTATTGTGGCTTTATAACAAATTTGAAATCAAACTTTGTTCCTGTTTTCAATGTTGCTTTGGCTCTTCTAGATTCTGTGCATTTCCATATAAATTTTAAAATGGGCTTATAAATATTTAGGAAAAGAAAGCTGCTGAGATTTCTTTGGACTTATGATGAATCTACACATCAATTTGGAGAGAACTGACATCTTACGACTATTGTGTCTTTTGACCCATGAACATGGTTTATATCTCTATTTACCTCTGCCTCCTTTAACACTCTCAGCAATGCTTTAGAGTTTTCATAATTTATATTCTTGCTTTGTTTCTAGTCTTAGGAAGAAAGCATTAATTCTTTCAGGATCAAGTATGGTTTTGCTATAGGCTTTTCATAGATGTACTTTCATTGATTATCCTTACTGTTTTTTATGTCATTGCTTTCTGCTTTTATCTTCATTATGTCCCTTCTTCTGCTAACTTTAGATTTCATTCGCTTTTTTTTTTATATTCTAAAGTAGAAGCATTGATCAGAAGTCAGCAAATTTTTTTCATGAAGATTAGAGGATAATTATTTTAGGTTTTGCTATGCATACAGTTAACCAACTTTATTGTTATAGCATGAAAGCAGTCATAGGCCACGCACAAATGAATCAACATGGCTGTGTTTCAATCAAACTTTATTTACAGAAACAGGCAGCAGGTTGGACTTGGCTCATCTGTTATACTTTGACAACCCCTGGTTTAGATCACTGATTTGAGGCCTTTCTTTTTTTCTGGTGTAGGCATTTAGTACTATAAAATTTCCTCTAACTATTGCTTTATATGCATTCCACAAATTTTCATATGTCATATTTTCACATTTATTGAGTTCAAAATGTTTTCTAATTTATTTTATTTCTTCTTTGACTGAAGAAATATTTTAATGTATTATCTAGTTTCTAAATATTTGGGGATTTTCCAGATGTCTTGCTGTGATTAATATTTAACTTAAATCCATTCTGATCACAGAACATGCCTGGCATGGTTTGGATTCTTTTAAATATATTAAGACCTGTTTTATGGAGCAGAATATAAATCTGTTGAGGTTTGTTTTATGGGCCGGGCCAGAATATAGTTTTTCTTGGCAAATGTTCCCTGTGCACCTAAAATGAATCTCTATTCTGCTCCTGTTGAGTGGAGTGTTCCATAAATGTCAATTAGGTAGTTGATTGATAGTGTTATTCAATTCCTCTATATCATTCCTGATTTTATGTCTACTTTTTCTATAAATTATTGACAGAGAGGTGTGAAATCTTAGGCTGTAACGGTAGATTTGTTTACTTCTCCTTTTAGCTTTATCAGTTTTTGCTTCATGTATTTTGAAGCTCTATTTTTAGGTGCATAAACATTTTTTATTGTTATTTTCCATTGATGTGATGACCTCTTTTTTGTTAGGAAATGGCCTTACTCATCCCTGATACTATTCTTTGCTTATTTTACTTTGTATCTTACAATATAGCTATTCCAGCTTTCTTTTGATTGTTGTTAGCATGGAACACCTTTTTTTCCATCCATGTGCTTTTAATGTACTTGTGATTTTTTTATAAATAGTATTTTTATAATTCTATTTTATCTCCCACAGTCATAGCTATGGCTTTCTTTTGTGTCTTAGTGGTTCCTTCACATTTCATTATATATATCTTTAATTTATCACAACCTACCTTCAAGTTATATATTACCACTTTATACATAATATAAGAACATTTATCCTCCACCTCCTGGGCTTTGTATTATTTTACTTCTATATACAGTATGTTATAAGCCCCACAGTAACATTTCATTAATTTTACTTTAAACAATCAATTATGTTTTAGAGATTTTTAAAATACAAAAATGTCTTTTCCTCTTTTCCACGTGGTTTTGATTTCCCATACTCTTCATTCCTTTGTGTATATTCAGATTTGCCATTGGTATCATGTTTCTTCTTCCTGAAGGACTGTCTCTTAACATAGCCTGCAGCACAGGTCTCTGGTGACAACTTCTTTAAGCTTTTCTATTGTCTGTAAAACTCGTTATTTGGACTTCATTTTGGAAATAGATTATCACTGGCAATATAAATCTAAGTTGACTATTTTTTTTTTTTTGCTTTTGATACTTGACAGATATAGATCTTCTGTCTTTCGGATTACATTGTTTCTAGTGAGAAATTTGCTATTATTCTGATTTTTGTTCTCTGTTCACAATGTGCTTTGTGTCTCTTATTGCTTTTAAGATATTCCTTACTACTGGTCTTAAACACTTTGATTTTTATTTGCTTTAGCGCAGTTTTCTTCATGTTTCTTTACTTGAGGTTTGTTGAGCTTCTTGCAAATGTGGGCTTAAACTTTTTTATCAGATTAGGAAATGTTTGTCCATTACTTCTTCATATAATTTTTCTGACTCCCCACCCTGCTTCTTTTATGGGCTACAATTACATGGAGGAGAGGTTCCTTGAGGTTGTCCCACATTTCAATGTTGCTCTGTTTCTTTTCAGTTTTTTGTCTTTTTTGGGTTTCATTTGTAATTATTTGTATCACTATGTCTTCAAGTGCAGTAATCTTTTCTTCTGTAATGTCATACCTGCTGTTTTCATCCCACATCTTTTCCATCCAACATCTTTTCCATCCAGCACCTTTTCCATCTCAGATACTGTATTTTGCATCTCTAGAAGTTCAATTTGAGCCTTTTTAAAATATTTTCTATGTCTATATTTTCTCGGCCTCAGGGATCAGAAAGCTTATTCTTCAAAGGACCAGATGGTAAACATTTTAGGCTTAAGGAGTCATATATGTTTTTGTCACATTTTTTACAATATTTTTAAAGTAATCTTTAAAATTTTTAAAGAAAAGAAACAACTATTGTTAGCACTCAGACCGTACAAAAATAGACTCCAGGCTGGATTTGACCCACAGACCATTACCATTGTTGGAAAACCTTGCTCTCTCTTCTTGAATATAGGAGATACATTTATGACATTTTCAACTCCTTCTATCATCTGTGTCATTTTGAGTCTGCTTATACTGATGGATTGATTGATTGATTGATTGATTGATTGATTCCCTCATTATAGTAATATTTTTCTGATTCTTTGTATACCTGGTAATTTTGGTAATTTTTTGGTTGAGTTGCAAAAATTGTGAATTTTACCTTAACACTTGATTTTTGTATTTCTTCAAATATTCTTGAGCATTGCATTGGAACCCTGTTAAATTGCTTGAAAACATCTTGATCCTTTTGAGGCTTTCATTTAAGATTTTTTTTTTCTTTTTTGGCAGGACCAAGGTAGTCTTTAACTGACGGCTGATTCTGGCCCACCACTGAGGCAACAACTGAATACTTTATAAACTGAATAAACTGAACATTTTATCCAGTGCCCTGTGCATTGCAATGTTATTTTTACTCTGGCTGGCAGGAATACAATCTATTCCTGGCCCTGCGTGATCATCAAGAATTGTTTCACCTGCTCCTTTCCGGGCCTTGGAAAGTTTCCTCACAGGCGTGTGTTGATCCTTACAAGGCAGAACCTCTAAGGTGAACCCTCTGGTACTCTCTGGTCCCATGAGAATGCAGCATTCTCTCTTCTGTGCTATTTTCTCCTTTCTGATATTCTGCTCTGAGTATCCTAGCTGTCCTGGCCTCCCCAGATTCTCAATTCTATCTCCTCAACCCAGGGAGACTCCCACGATCTGAGTGACCCCCTTCTCCTCCTAGAAGGTCTCTTAGGGCAGTTCAAGGGCAATCATACCACTCCCTTCATTGTTTTGCTTCACTTGGGGGCCCGAGTGCACTCCAGCAATGCCTGTTGTCCAATGACTGAAAACTGTAACTTCATTTATATTTTTTCTCATTTTGTTGAAGAAGGAGGCTAAATCTGGCCCCTGTTACTCCATCCTGCTCAGTGGTGAAGTCCTGCTTTATGGGTTTTGAAGCTCCAACATTGGCTTCATTCCAGAATTGCCTAGAAGAACTGACTTCACTTTATTTCAAACTTTTCTCTGCTATTTTTTATGCATGTACCACCTTGATATTTCTTCTAAAACTTAGTAAGGATTGCCTGGCTGGTGGCATTGTGAGTCATTTTAATTTTCTTCTTTATGCTCTCTGCATTTTTTTTTTTTTTTTTTTTGAGATGGAGTCTTTCTCTGTTGCCCAGGCTGGAGTGCAACGGTGAGATCTCAGCTCACTGCAACCTCCGCCTCCCAAGTTCAAGCGATTCTCCTGCCTCAGCCTCTTGAGTAGCTGGGATTACGGGTGTGCACCACCATACCCAGCTAATTTTTGTATTTTTAGTAGAGACAGGGTTTCACTATGTTGGTCGCACCCAACCAGAATTTTTTTTTAATTAATGACTGCTACTGTTTTACAAATTAAGATGTGAGCACTCTCATTTATAGTTATGTTAAAAGATGCAAAATCATTTTGTCATTCCAAAATATAAACAAAACACACAAATAGATTATGAGTAGAATGCAAGGCCATAAATTGTATCTGCTGCAGGCTACTTCTGACTCTACCCTCGCCTCCTGGAAGCATACCCTTTCCTTTGTGGTCGGAGGTGCATCAGCTGAAAAACTCGAGGTGAAGTGCCTCTGCTCCTCCAGGGTGGTCTCCTATTCTCACCTGGAAATATGCCTTCCATCTGGCTGTGCACAGGGACCTGTGAGCTCCATAGACTCATCTGGGAAGACCTGCTCCAGTCCCTCCGTACCTTCTTCATGTGTGCAGGCACTGCTGTCCAGCAGTTGACCGCAGTAGAGTCCTCGGTCAGTGTTTGGGGACTTGACTCATACTCTCAGTCTCCAATCCTTACTTGGATTTGACTTTCTTCCATAAAGAAGCACAGCCTGACTCCCACACTCTGCGTATGGTTATCATTCCAGCCTCAGTCACTGTTCTTGGGAACAGGTGTCATTTCACTGTTTTCCCTCCAGTTATGTTTAGAGAACCTGTCCATTCTGACAAGCATGTAGATGTTTTATTTGGACTTTGTAACACTTAGATATCAGAACTGTAGGATCATCTTATTTTTCTACATCATATTTAACCTGACTCCAGGCCTCAACTAAACAGGATGTGGGATAAATTCAGTCTCTGTCATTTTAAGAGATGTTTGGATGTAAATGTTTGGGACTTCTGCTGTGTGCCTGGAAAATGGTGAATGATATGTTGATCTATGATTCTGGTCCTTACCATTCTCAATTGCTACCATACCTGTGAGCTCAGAGCTACTCCTTTCTGTGCTGTTCCCAAATGAAGTCAGGCCAGGCCATGACACTGTTGCCCCTGGTATCACTATTGCTCTGTACCCGCCCCTTTATGGAGCATGAATGTGAGGCAGTGTCAGCTTCTACAATTTCACAGATGACAAAACCCCAGGCTCCTTCCCGGTCTCCCTTCTCCAATTCTGTCTACTCCACCTCTTGAATACTGGCTTCCCCACTAGCACCAACAACCAGAAACATACATTTTTTACTTATCCCTGAGAATGGATAGATGGGGGAAGTGAATACATTCATTTAAGTCCTCGAGAAGCAGACATTAAAACAAGGTGAGACATGCAAGAGAGTTGTTGGAGGAGGGGGCAGGAGAAGAGGAGGAAGTGTTCAGTCGATGACTTAGATCTGACATCTCTGAAAGGAGAGAGGGAAGGAAGAAGGATTCAAAGTAGAAGAGTCTTGGAATGCAGCACCGTCTCAATGGTTTAGCAAGACCACTGGAAGGACTGAGGCCAAAGTCATCTATTGGAGCCATCCTGCATCTTATGGGGATGGACCTGCCTTGGTATTAGGGCCGTGCTCAGGCAGTAGCTGGTAGCAGCCATCAGGGAGCGTAGCCTTAGCGTCAATGCAATAGTGAATCTCATAAGGCCATTGGAATCGAATTCCAAATTGTCCATAGCCTCTGACTTATATTTCCTGTTGGTAAAGGAAGTGTATGGGAAAAGCAGCTGTTGGTTTACAGCTGCTGCAATCACCAAGAAGTGAATCTTGCTGCTTTCACCCTGAGTCATCAGTGCCAATGGCATCACACATCATACTGACCATTTCTGCCCTCCATAGGAATGACATCTGTCAAACAATACTTGACAGACATACTTTGCTTTGTTCAAACAACATGAGCCACAGAAAATTAAACCTGCTCCAATAAAGTAGTTCAGTGTTATTAGCAAGGCCACTAAATGTACTTCTTGGCACATTATCAGCAGAATGTGGTGGCAGTAGTGTCTGCTATTATGAGCATCATAGCTATGAATTTCTTGACTGTTGGCCAATTGTAAGAGCCACTGGAGCATTACAAGATGCAACCAGTATAGTAGTAGGTGGGCATAAGTTCTATGCCTACTTAGACGGAAATCTAGGTTGGGTGATGGGTCTTTGAAAGTGCTATGGTCTCAATGTTTCTGTTCTCCAAAAAGTCTTATGTTGAATCCTAATCCTCAAAGTGATGGTACTTTCATGAATCAGATTAGTGCCCTTATAAAAGAGACTCCAGAGAGCTACCTAACCCCTTCCACCATGTGAGGATGCAGCAAGAAGGCACCGTCTGTGAAGCAGAGTGGGCCCTCCCCAGACACTGAACCTGCTAGCACCTTGATCTTGTATTTTCCCACCTCTATAAATGGAAGAAATAAATTTCTGGGTTTTTTTGTTTTTGTTTTTGTTTTTGTTTTGTTTTTGAGATGGAGTCTCACTCTCTCACCCAGGCTGGAGTGCAGTAGCATGATCTCGGCTCACTACAACCTCCACCTCCCAGGTTCAAGTGATTCTCCTGCCCCAGCCTCCCGAGTAGCTGGGATTACAGGCGTGCACCACCATGCCTGATTAATTTTTGTATTTTTAGTAGAGACGTGGTTTCACTGGCCAGGCTGGTCTCAAACTCCTGTCCTCAAGTGATCTACCCACCTCGGCCTTTCAAAGTGCTGGGATTACAGGTGTGAGCCACCGTGCCCAGCCCTGTCGTTTTTAAGTCACCCAGTTTATAGGATTTTTGTTATAACAACCACAATGAGTAAGACAAAAGGTAAAGCAGATTCAGCCTAATGGACCTTTTTGTCTGCCGTGAGAATTCATGAGGCCACAGTGGCAGAGGCTCAGCCAGCCAGATCACAGGCAGCCTTGCACAACCTCTTCAGAAGTAATTTCCTCATACCCTCCAGCAAATCTCCTAGAGACCCATGCCTCCCTGGGTAAACTAAGGCAGAGGAGTCAAACCAAAACCCAACACCATTCTCTCTATATTCCCCCCCTTCATGTGTCAGCTGTTGGGCCACATCGCTTCAGATGTGGCCTGTAATAGACATCACTGAAGACCGGATGGGTCTTTGTTTCTGGTGATAAACTGCTCCTTGGCCATTCAAATGCCTCAGTGACAGCTTCCCCCTTTGAAGCCTCTCTGGTCCTCCAGTGCATCTGTGGCCTGCAGCTGGGCCCTGCCTAGGTGAAGGGTGGGGCAGAATAGTCCAAGTAGGGCAGTATGGCTGGAGTAGGGCAGTACGGCCTGAGTGGGGCAGCCCACACGGATTAGCCCAGGGATCTGACCACCTCCTGGCAGAGGCCAGAGGGCAGAATTGATTAATTCCTGGAGATATTTATCAGTGATATACCTGGGAGTCACTTTAACTTGCAGAACTGACAACAGGCTATTTTTAAGACTATTTTTCCTGCTTACTTAATTAGTTCATTTATTCATCGTGTTCCTGCTGAGGTCCTGCTCTGTGTCAAACCCACCACTAGGCACCTGGAATACAAGGACAAACAGAAGCTGTTGAAATTGTTGAAGGGAGGAGCTTGGTCCTGGATTTGGGTCATGGAAGTGGAAAAGAAGGAACTTGGCCCCATTCCCTAGACCCCTGTCCACCAACAAAAAGAAAAAAAAAAGAAAAGAAAAGAAATAATTAAAAATAATAAAAGGAAAAAAAGAAGAAACATGGGTGGATTTTGAGAGCTATGTAAGAGGACTAAAACTCAGCCATTTTTACATACTATATGCCAGGCAGGACCAGCTACATGATATGCAGGGTTCATTGCAACATGAAAATGTGGGAACAGTTGTTCCGAAAGCAGGAAAAGTTTTTCCTTCCTTCCTCAGTCTCTCCATCTCTCTGGACTCCAGCACAATTCCAGAAAGATTCAGCAAGGCTAATGGAAGTCCTCAAGCCAAAGTCAAGCAAAGGAAGAAACCTAAATCTTACTGGAATGGGCCTGCCTTCAGGATGCTCACTGGGTGAGCGCAGACCCTCACAGGTGCCTGGGTTCCCGTCCTGTGACTCAGAGCCACACCCTCACCCAGGTCTCTGCTGAGCACAGAAAGCACCAGAAGTTGCTGGGCCAAGGGAGACAACTGAGCACCTGAGAATCCATTCTAGAGATGTGCTGGATGGGTGGGACCCCCAGTGCTTGTGCCACTCACATTGGACTTCAGTTACAAAACATGTTCAAAGATAGTATTATGGGCTGGGCACCGTGGCTCCCACCTGTAATCCCAACACTTTCAGAGTAAGTTTCAGCAGGAAACTATGGGGATACTCTTGGGACTTAAGGGAGGGTGGATAGAGAAAGTGAGATCTACCCGAGGTGTAAACTCTAAGTAGCTGCTGGGAAGAAGAGGAAGTGGAGCAGAGGAACCTTCCAGCAGAAAGAACAGCATCTGCCAAGGTCTGAAGGTGAGGCAGGAGAAAGCAGCGTACACCTGGGAAACTGCAGCTTCTCTAGCTCAGAGTAATTGAAGTGAAAGAGGGGAGTGGGCAGAAATGAGACTGGACACAGCTAAAAGGGCCATGCAAGGATTTTTTTTATTTATTCTAAAAGCAAGGGAGGAATTCCTAAGATGTTTCAAGCTGGGAAGTGAGATGATCAGGAAATTTCACTATGGGAAGGTCACCTTGTCACACTTGCAGAAGTTGGATTGAAGTTGGGCAAGACTGGAGGCAAGGAAGCCAGTAGGGAAACTGGTACGATCATCCTGGAAAAACAGCCTGGTGGCCTGTGGGATTGGAGAGATAGTAAGAGGGCAAAACTGCAGGATCTGGTGGACAACTGAACATAATAGGTGAAACAGAGGAGGGGGTCATAGAGGATGTTCATCATGTCTGTCCTCATAAACCGTGTGGATAGTGGTGTCAATTCCCTGACCTAGGCACTGCGGGGAAAGGAGCAGATTGGAGGGGAGGAGGAGAAGAGCTCAGCTTTTCCATCCACTCCTGGAGCTGCTCAGGAGACATCGAGATGGGAATGTTTGGCAGACACTGGGATGTAGCGCTCTGGTGTCAGGTGAGGATTCTGGGCTTAGGTGAGGCACTGAGAATTTTCAGCATACCCCTGGTAATTGTTATGGGTTGTATTGTGTCCCCCAGAAAGATGTTGACATTCTAACCCCCAGTACCTGTGAATGTGACTTCATTTGGAAATAGAGTCTTTGCAGATGACCGAGTTAAGATGAGTCTGTTAAGGTAGGCCCTAACCCAATAGGATCATGTCCTTGAGATAGAGTAAATGTGGATGCAAAGGCAAACATGCGCACAGGGGAGAACGCCATGTGATGATGAGGGCAGAGGTTGGGGTGAGGCGTCCACAAGCCAAGGAATGGCAAAGTTGCCAGAAAACTACCGGAAGCTGGAAAAGCCCCAGAAATTAACACAGCAATGAAGCCATGAGAGGGCAGGAGGTCTTTCCAACCATTCAAACGCCCAATGAGGGAACAGCAGCCTCTCTGGTAAGGAAGCACCATCACCCACCCTTCCAAGCAGATGCTGAGATCGCCAAACTGAAGGGAGACTGGGCCTCAAAAATTCCTTCACTTAAGCCTCCGAGTCATCAGCCTCCTCCATCATTTCATACTTATTTTCCTTTTCACATCATAACAAAGTTCACTTTAACTTTGAAGTCAGACGCTCTAGTGCTAAAGCACCATAAATACAGTTTCTAGAAGATTACATCCTATCTCATGCTACCTGCTGGGGCTTTTCGTCCCCTTGGGGACCTCACCCTTCTCCTGGCAGTTTTCTCATCTTCTTTTACCCCAAAACCCTGATCTTCCACCTGCTATCTCACTTCCCCCTAGCCTGCCTGCCCTCCCTCCTGCCTGCCCTGGTAATTCCCATCATATATCTCTGTGACTGATGAATAGGAAGTTAATCAGAGTGCAGTCAGCTGTACCTTCGAATCATAGACTCATTTTGAGGTATCTTAATTGAACCATCTCCCTGGGAAAGATGAACTGTAGATAACAATCAGGAAGGCTTGTGCAAAGGGTAAAGAGATGAGCCTTCTAAAATGAATATATGTCAAAGTCAGATGACAGGAAACTTAGGTTCACCAAAGTCATTCAATCAGCCAGTTATTCACTCAACAAATGTTTACTGTGGGTCCCAGACCAGGTTAGGAGCTGGAGGGTATATCTCCAGGAATATGGGTCTGTGGCTGTCACGCCCTCAAGCTATTTTCTCTGCCTCTACAGGAAGAAAACTGAAGGCCATTCAGGAAAGGCTGCAGCTGGAGTGGGCTTCCCTGTGACACCAAAGAAAGAGATGACAGGCTGAGAAAGTGGCCCCAGTGTGAAAACCCTCTCAGCACTGGCTAGCTTCACCTGCCAGAAAGAAGCAAAGGAGATTGCCGCAGACACCAGTGGGTTCTTTTCAAAACTGTTTCTCTTTTTTGCCAGACAGAGCTGTCGGGTTACATTTCCCACTCTCCTTGCGGTTGCTTGTATACATGTTCTGGCCAATGGGAATATGGGCAGGATGGATGGGTGCTCCTCCAGGTCCAACCCACAGAGCCGAGCCTCCCACACAGTCTTCCACCTCCATTTGCATGGCTGTAGGCAGGGTCACAGAGAAGACTGGGGAGGACCCCAAGGCCCTTGGAGGTGGAAGAGCCACCAGAAGGAAGTATTCTTTAGAGCAGAGCCCCCACCCTCCCAACCACTGGCAACTCCACATTGGATGTGAGATGCTAAGCCTTTGAGATTTGGGGGCTGTTATTACAATAGTTCATCTTCCCTAATTAACACAGAGAATGAAGGGTGGGCTTCAACCCTGGTCTCCACGCTCCCTGCATCTAAAACTCAGTTTCACTGGTGCCAGGTACATTCAGGCCAACCTTCCCCAAATGAGGGCACAGCTGAAGGGCATGACCCACTCAGAGAGGGCTCTGAAAAGCAGTCTCTTCCTCATTGGCAGAAGTTGTGTCCAGGTGAAGCCAAGCCCTGAGCTGCAAATTTTATTCCCAAATATTTCAAAGAGAAAATGAGCCCATTCCACCTCCCTGCTAGAGGAAAGTTAAAAGCAGGGTCTGTAGGCACTGAAGCCAAGGGACTTCTTAGACCTCCTAGGACTCCTGCTCAGGAGTCTCTGGTCATTCAAATTCAGATAAGGACAGAGGCCAAATTAACTAAAGGTAAATTCCAGCCAGTGTCTATGCTCAGGAAGAATAATTAGCAAAGGCAATCAGGTCCTGTTAATCGTGGAAAAATCACTGGCCCCCTTCAGCAAGTGCACGTATCACCATTCTAGATGTCAGTCCCAGAGAGTGCTAATTTAGCTTGGGCCCCTGCTATGAAATGCAACCCAGCTGATATTCAAACATGCCTAAACATCGTCATTTGCTAATAGTGGCTAATGGCTTTAATCACAGAATAAAACAAATCAATAATTAACCTTAGCAAGTGAAAGTGCAACTAGGATTCAGAAATAATGAATTCGTTAATGGTTCTTGCTGCCATTAGTGCATATATGTCAAGGTAAAGATGCAGAAATGTGCCCATTTGCAAGGAGCTAATCTGTTCATAAATGATCAGATTATGACTTAAATTGGACCTTGTCTTGAAGGAGGGTAATAGGTAACACATCCACCAAGTTATCTCTAATGTATTAAGAAAACTATAAGTGGCCGCGTGGCGACTCACACCTGTAATCCCAGCACTTTGGGAGGACGAGGCAGGTGGCTCACAAGGTCAGGAGATCGAGACCATCCTGGCTAACACAGTGAAACCCCGTCTGTACTAAAAATACAAAAAATTAGCCGGGAGTGGTGCTGGGCGCCTGTAGTCTCAGCTACTCTGGAGACTGAGGCAGGAGAATGGCGTGAACCCAGGAGGCGGAGCTTGCAGTGAGCTGAGATCGCGCCACTGCACTCCAGCTTGGGCGACAGAGCCAGACTCCATCTCAAAAAAAAAAAAAGAAAGAAAAAGAAAACTATAAGCTTATACATGTAACCATTTATTTACCACCCTTATCCCCATGATGTGTACTGGGTCTATGCCAGAAGGTGGTGGCAGAGAATGTAGAAGTGACCCCTCAGCTTAAGGAAACCAGGTGCCAGCAGATCACAGAATTACAGCAACATGGCAATGGCTCCAACAGAGGGGTGCTTTAAGGCTGAGCCATACACAGGCAGAGGCACAATGACCTGCCTGGGAAGGCCTAGAAAAGGTCATGCTTCTGACAAAGGAGGGGACAATTGAATTAGGTCTTGTAGGATGGCTAGAAGTTGCCAGAAAGACAAAGAATGAAAGACCAAGAAAACAAAAATTAAGAAAAAGAACAAGATGTGTCCAATCCATTCAAGTATATCCATGTGGCTGCAAAGCCAGGAGCTCTTGGGCACAGGGGGTGACAGGATGGTGAGTCAGAGTGAGCCCAGGTGCAGAGGGCCTTGGGCATTTTGCTGAGGTTCTTTGTTTTGTTTTGTTTTTGTTTTTCTAATAGACAATGAAAGCCACTGAAAGACTGACCCATGAGTAATTAGAAATAAGATATGGCCAGGCACGGTGGCTCAAGCCTGTAATCCCAGCACTTTGGGAGGCCAAGGCAGGTGGATCACGAGGTCAGAAGATCGAGACCAGCCTGGCTAACGCAGTGAAACCCCGTCTCTACTAAAAATAAAAAAATTAGCCAGGCATGGTGGTGTGCACCTGTAATCCCAACTACTCAGGAAGCTGAGGCAGGAGAACCACTTGAACCTGGGAGGCGGAGGTTGCAGTGAGCTGAGATCGTGCCACTGCACTCCAGACTGGGTGACAGAGCAAGACTCCATCTCAAAAAAATAAAAAAATTAAAAAAAACAGAAATAAGATATAACAGCACTGAAAATTTTGTTTGTATGCCTTTATAGCTGGTAGAAGTAGGCCTTTCTTTGAAGAAATGTATGTTTATCTTGTTTGTCTCAAATCATAAGCAATTACCCTGGAGGCTCAAGTGATGGAATAATTTTCAGGATTTGGGAGATATGGAGCTGGACAACCTCTGATTAATGTGGAGATTTTTCACCCAAAGGCCAGCCTGTATTTGGATCATATTCAGTTTTATTTACAGGTGAATATGATTTGTTTGGTGATGTTTGTTTTTCATCTAAAATTTGAATAAGTACAAGGTTTATTTAGATGCAGTGGCAGAGTCTCTCTCCTGTTTATAAAGAGTGATTGGCAGATGTCTTTGGTTATCAGTGGCCAAAACCCTCTTCCTTCAGGCTAGGAGAGCCTTGATTTTGCTCCAGTGCCCATTCCTCTTCCTCCTGACTTGAGTAAATTGTGATTGGTAAAAGCTAACATGGAGGTTGCATTCTCCTTGCTGGTGGCTGGTTTAGGCACAGTCCTGTGGCTAAATTCTGACCAATGGTATGTCAGATGAGATCTGTTGGGGCTGCAGGGTAAAGTTTCTCTTTCTGATAAAAAGGAGCACACTCTCTTGTGTTCTGTCTCAGGAATTGTTAGGAAGCTATTGTAGGGAGGACAACCTGAAGACAGCCAGTTCCTGGGAACAGAGCCTGGGTCCTCCATCGTGCAGTTGAGTCCTGAAGTCACTAACGTGGAGTGACCCTATGTTCAGGCTTCTTCTCTGAGAGAGTAAATCCCTTCTTGTTCAAGGCAGTTGAGTCAGAGTTCTCCTATTTGGCCGAGGGCATCCTCACTATCTCAGGGGTTCAGCTGGGACACGCCAGTGCCACCATCTTGGTGGTTTATGCCAGCCTTCATTCTGATGGGTCAGAGCCTGTGCTGTTAAATATTTCACCACCCCTTGTCTCAGCGACCTGCAGGAGTCTCTCAGCATGTGCCGTGAGCATCTGAGTTGATTGTTTCCAGATGATCAGAAAGTCCAGATCTTTACAATCTCAAAGAGAAGAAGTAAACAATCACGGATTCATTTATTGTTATTTATTGTGCTACTTATTGTTCTGGGTGCTGACGAAGACACCTAAAATACGTTTTTTACCTCTAAGAACTTAGAGTTTATTAAAGTACATATGACAGTAACAATAAAATAAGGCAAAATGTGATAAATGCCAAAGAGTGACCCCACAGAAGATTCAATGTCTAGCTTTGGGTGTTTAGGAAATACTTGATAAAGGAAATTCATGGAAGAGGGCATCTAATCTGGATATAGACAAAAGGATTAAAAAAGATTAATAGGCCTAGCACAGTGGCTCACACCTGTAATCCCAGCACTTTGGGAGGCCGAAGCGGCCTGATCACTTGAGGTCAGGAGTTCGAGACCAACCTGGCCAACATGGCAAGACCCTGTCTCTACTAAAAATAGAAAAATTAACCTGGCATGGTGGCACATGCCTGTAATCCTAGCTTTGGGAGGCTGAGGCAGGAGAATCACTTGAACCTGGGAGGTGGAGATTGCAGTGAGCTGAGATAGTGCCACTGCATTCCAGCCTGGGTGACAGAGTGAGACTCTGTCTCAAAAAAAAATTAGTAACAGTAACGATAACTAACATGTACTGAGTGCTTGGTAGGGGTCAGGCAGTTTTATATGTCCTCTATATTAATTAACTCTTTTAATCTTCACTGCAACCTGATAAGGTAGGTGTATTGTTTATCCAATTTACAGATGGAGAAACTGAGGCACAGAGCAGTTAGGTAACTCACCTAAGATGACATACTCCTTGGATTATGGAGCCAGTATTCACATTCACGCAGCCTGTGAGTGTCTGATGGTAAGAGTGGCATGAATAAAAAAGGAGCCAAGTGAGGGGCTGGAGAATAGGGTTAAAAGAGAAGTACTGGGAGACAAGGGGTAAAAAGTGGTCAGGGCCAAATCCCAGACACCTGGAATGAGAATCTGAGATTTCAATTGCATTTGGAAAATGTAAAGTGCCATTGCCAGTTTTCAGGTCTTGGAAAAGGAGGCTGACATGATCACTCTGTGCTAGAGTGATCAGTCTGATTATAGGGTTGAGAATGGATTCACCAGGGGCACCTCTGGAGGCAGGAAAGCCAGGGCCACAGCTCTAATTGGAGCAGTGGGAACGGAGACAAGGGGATGAGTTAGGGGATAATTAGGAAGTGATGCCATAGGACTTGGTGACTGTGCAATAAGAAGAGAGGGGAGACTCAGGTGAGTCTCAAGTTTGAGGTTTGGGAGGTAGTTCAAGATGACACCAATAATAAGGGCCATTTCTTGAGCTAAGAATAGCAAGTTCAGCAGGTAAGGGGAAGAAAGTTCAGCTCGGGGGCATTGCAAAAATTTGGAGCACTAACTTGATTAGATAAGACAACCAACACAGAACTGAACAGAAGGTGATCTATGGAGCCACTGGGAAACTAACACATAAGATCAAAAAGCAGGATCCCTGTGCCATTGTTACAGCCAGATACCTCCTATCACCACTACTGATAGATCCACCATATCATCATAGCTGGTAGGTATGGTGTCATACAACTATGTGACAGACAGGTATACCATGGTGACTAACAGGCATACCTGGTCACCATAACAGATATTCTGTGTCATCATGATGGAAAAATACTACAATGACACCTTGATAGACAGATACCTCATGTCATAGGGAGAGACAGGTACCATTCATCATGATGACACACAAGTAAACCAATTATTATAGCAGGTACACCATGTCATAGTGACAGACATGACATCTTTGGCACTGTCTTTACAACCTACCATGGCATGACCACAGCACATATTTAGTATATCATCACGGCATACCGATATGATGAGTCAGCATGATAGAGCAAACTAGCCTGTTGTATGTCAGACAAACAACATCTTAGCAAGTAAAAGATGCAGAACAGTGGTGTGACAAGTTTACAGTGCCATTGTCCTAAGTGAGCTGCATCACGTCCACACTTGAGGAAAGTGATATGACTCATGTATATAGTTATAAAGCTACTGTATGGTTTTAAACAATGGTGCAGATTTGCATTTTGCTCAAACCGTCCTTGCAATAAATGCTCACAGTGTGTTTGCTATATTGACAGATGGATGGAAGGATGGATGGACAGAGAGATGGAAGGAGGGATGGATGGATGGATGGTTGGTAGATGCATGAAAAACTAATGATTAGGACGGAAGAGCTGTGCTGGAACATTTTCCAACCTTCAGAAACTCCAAATTGGTTGCCAGGAAGAGTCACCTGGATCATGGAAGAAGGGGGGACCAACTGAAATCCCTGACCTGAATGAGACATGTTTCTCCCAGAACTCACAACTTTGCCCACAAAGTCCCTTCCATGGTTACAATTAGGCTGTTGGCTGAGGTAACCATTCTAGACTTTTGAATTTGAGAGAAGACTTACTTGCATCTCTTCAGGATCTGAAGTGAGTCCAGTTCTTCCCACTGGAGTGAAACTCACAGATCATAATGTAAGGCTCAGCTGCCTCCCCCTTGTGCAGCCATAGTCCTTGGGTACCTCCAGGCAAAACTACTGTGTCCCCACCTCTGCTTGAGAGCCTCCTGGATTTGGTTTGTGTGTTTAAGATGATTTAATCTGCATTTGGTTTAAGTGTATTTCATTTTAAACCACTTGGAAGGCCACTGAGGAAGGACAATATAAAGGAAAACATACTTTCCATGAAGGAAAATGTCAGTTCTCCCCTTTTACAGAACTGAATATAAAAGGTTAGAATTTACTCCACTGTAGTCCCCTTAAATAAATCAGTCCACCTGTGCACATTAGGCCCAGGAATAATTAAAGGACCCCGTAGGCATGGGCATTAGAGCAGCCCTGGTTCCTTGATGTCCCTCCCCTTGCCCCATCAGCCACACCCAGGTACTGCACCCTGGCACCCAGGGTTTCCCTGGAGCTAATTGATGGACAACGTATTTGGACTCAATTTTCAGCTTTGGTTCCAAAACTCTAGCCCCTACCTGATACCAGGAGAGGCCAATAAGATAGAAAGGAAGATCCTTAGAATCATAGAAAGCTCTTAGAGATTGTATTGTCAAACACCTAATAATGCTATTGAGAAACATAAAATGCAAAAGGGAAAGGAACTTGCCTAGGGCCACACTGAGATAAAAACCAGACTTAGAACTGAAGCCTCCCAGCTCCCAGGCCAGGGCTTTGTCTAGCACTTCATGGCCTTACAAGTTTGGTCTTGCAAAATGGCCACACATTCCCCATGCCATATACATCTTGAGGATCCTGTATGTGTCCATTTGTGTGTTCATGTGTGTACATGCACACACAGGAAAAGGGGATGGTAAAGAGAAAAGATATGAAGACTTTCAGAGGACATTTACAGGGTATAGCACAAACATTCCTCCAGCCTGGCAATCCCCACCTAGTCAAAGAGATGAGAAAGAACTGTAAATAAAACCGCCTCTCTGGGCACAGGGACACAAAGCTGTTTCTAACAGAAACCCAAAGGAATTCAACCCTTGGATTCCTGAATGCATATTCCTAAAAGGCCTTTCCTCCCCTCCTGCAGACATACTTCCCACCCTCACAGCAGTACTCAAAGGGTCAGGCAAGTAAGGACCAGTGGTTAGTGGCTTGGGAGATAAGGTGAAAATCTGTCATGCCCTTTTTTCCAATGTCTCTGTCCTTATTTAAAAGCTATTTTGTCAAATTAAGAGACCCAAGATACTTGCAACTATATTGAAAATCGAAGTTACTTAGGAAGCTAGAAAATGGAAATGACCAGAACCTGGTTTGGAGAAAGGATGGAAAGGTACAATCACCAAAGCTAAGGTGGTTGCCAGTGTGGCTGGTCATCCCTGCCAGCTGTGGCTGGAAATTGAGACTTTCTAGAACCATCATTAACTCCCAGGGGCCGATGAGCGGATGACTAGGTCCTAATTGGACAGTGACTGCTGGCCACACCTCATAATCTCAGGATTATGCCTCTCTCTAGACAAGAATTCGCAGTGTACTGCATGAGCCTCCTCCTTTATTAGATTGTCAATTCCTTGAGGCTAGGGATCGAGATGGATTCTTCTCTTTGTCTCCCTCAGTCCCTGCAGAAGCCTTTACCAAGGATCAAAGCTCAGGAAATGTTATAGGTAGATTACCACGTCTGCTTCATTCTCAGCATGCAACATCCTCTTGCCCACGAACCCAGAGACTTTGTTTGTGACACCTTTGTGCTGCTGAGATAGAACTCTGCTGTGAGTACGTACATCTTAAATCCATGTGTGTTTAAACTCCTAAAAAGTAGACTATATTTCTTTATTACTCATCAGTGCCTACTGCAGTGCTAGGACACAGAACACCCAAGCACGAGAATGAACAAATGAAGATGAAGCTGTTGTCTCAATGGAGGCTCCATTTTACATGCCCTTCATAGAGTAGATATCCCACAAATGTTTGTCTATGGAAATGTTTGATCAGCCCCTTCTTTCAGAAAGCACAGATTGATCACTGCCATCCCTGGCTCAGAGGCACATAGACTGCCTAGGAAAATCCAGGACAGGAGGTGAAGGAAGCCAGGGAGAAGGCCCATGTCTGTAGGAGTGACAGATTTTCTGTCTAAATGCTAGGAAAGGGAAGAAGTAAATTCTAGTTGATTCCAAAGTAACATCAGGCAATTAAACTCAGGGGGACTGTTGTAAGGTCAGAAGTCAGCAAAGCCAAATTTCCAAACAAAGCTGGAATACATTTAAAGTAGTGCTTAAAAATCTCCAAAGACAAAAATAAATAGCTGAAGAATGATGTTTCAAAACTCAGATTTAACTCGGCAAGTGACAGTTCAGCAAGATGAGCTATGAGCCGGGCAGTGAGACAAGGGCATGAGCTCATCTTCCGGCCACCCACAGCCTGACCCAGCCTGCTGCAGGCCAGAGTGGTGCAAGCTCAGGCTGGCTTTTTAAAAGGTGGAGAGAAATGGATGTGACTGACCCCAGGGTCCAGAGTAAAGACTTACTTGGATATCTAATGCAGCTGGTTCCAGATAAGACATGGTTTTGAGATGGGGGTGGTGGGGGAGGAGGCTAAAGAGGAAGGATAGAAATGCAATTTATAAAATCTTTGTATTGTGATAAAAATCCAATACAGTTTGGCTGAGTGAGGGCTTGAAATTTCATCAGTTCTATGAACCATTCCCACAGTGGAAGGGAAGGGGCTGGGTTTTATCATGTCAAAAAGCCAGCAATAAAAGAACTGTCCTGCAGTCAAGGCACAGCCAAGCTGACATTTCAGCCCAAGATGCATTCCTTTTAAGGGCCAAGATTTTAAAGAATGTGCTTTCCAGCCTCTCCCACAAGCTCACACAGGCAAAGCCGAGGCAGAAGGAGCTGTGTGCACAGTGAGATGTGTTTTTCTCATCACCCTCAGATGCCTTCTGAGGCTTGCTCATGGACTCTTCCCTCCTGGCACCTTTCCCAGACAGAGGGGGCTTGGCTGGAGGGCTGTGGAGGGGAGCACACTTTGAAAGGAGGGTGAAGGGCGATGTTTTCAAATCTAGCTATACTGAGGACTCACTGAATTTCATCTGGTCAGGTTTACGACAAATGTGGAAGACAAGGAGAGAGGGCTGCCCTGCCTCAGACATCCACTGATCTACCCTCTGGTCTGTGAAAAGTTCAAGTCTGAACATTGCTCAAGCTGACCTGCCATGCATTCATTCATTCACTCCTTCATTCATTTAACAAATACTTCTCAAACCCTCCTTATCCAAATACACGCAAAGGAAATAGTGTCAGCCCTGAAACAACCTCCTCTCAATCACAAAACCACCACTTGAGATGCTGTTCTGGTCATGGGCTGCAATACTTTGCTCAACTCTGCTATGGTCTCTTTCTGGAGTGAAAGGAGGAGAATGTGCTTCTGGAAGGCTAGAGATTGAGTGTGGCTGTTACTTTAATGCTCTCAGCCAACCAAGCAAGATGTAGAAATTGAGTATGGCCTATGGGTCTGAGAATCAAAATAGACCAGAAATAGACCCCAGTTCTGGTTAAACTGGAAATCTGTGTTTGGGATATGAGATTTCACTTTATAGACACGTTTCACAGGGATATACCAATCCAGAATATTAATGATCGAACAGTCAAAGTCATTCCAAATCTTCCATATACAGTAGAATTTTCAGAGTAAGTGTACTGGTGAGCATTTATTGTTATTGCTCAGGTAAAGCTGAACTTTTTTCATTATAACAATAGGAATCCTTCTTGCTTTGAGTTTTATAGCAATCAGCAACTGAGAAGAAACATCTCCAGATAATTTGACAAGGAATTTTTCTGCATTGTTACCAAAATTATATATAAAACTAAAGTCTGAGAAAGCATTGCAAGTAGCCAGAAAGTCTTAGAAGCCCCTAGTAGAAGTACTCACGAAGCACAGTGGCCAATGCCTACGCATTTTTTCAGTCTCTAAATTATTTCATAAACATCCTTTGCATTTTACAGTGCAATGAATGATGGTTGATCTCAATATAACACTCCTTCCCATACAAAATTATATGGCTTTTGAGGCAGAGTTATCTCTGGCTTGGTCACAAATATTTTAAGAATCATCTTTGCCCTGTAGATTTTCTTTAACCCACCCATGTAAAGATGGTCCCTCCCTCCTTGTAGCTCCACAGCACTTTATATTTTTGTGTTAATTTTGGATACTGAAAGGCACAAACCATGCTTATGAGCACATGCATTCCTACACTTATGACAAATATCAATTCTCAATGAGAACTCTAAGGACAGCAGAAAACCATAGGATTAGGAAGGACATCCAATGCTTCTTGGCCTCAGAGAAGCCCCCACCCAAAACAGGTCATCAGACATGTTTCCTAAACTGTAACATGAAGAAATTAACAGGTGTGATACGTTAATAGGTGTTCAGATATTAACAGGTATTCTGCCATAGAAAGATTCAGTGGTCAGCTAAGTCTAGAAAATGGTAGATTACACAAGCCAAATAGGTTGGGGGTTTCTTGTTTGTTTGTTTGTACTGTTGGTCTTCAATATGCCTTTAATATGCTAATACACACTGTGCATTCCATGGAGTACACATCGTTTTCTGCACCCTTCTTTGATAGGGGCTACCACTCTTCTGTGGGAAATATGTCTATAGAAGACAGTTATCTCTGGCTTGGTCACAAATATTTTAAGAATCATCTTGGCCCTGTAGATTTTCTTTGACCCACCCATGTAAAGACGGTCTCTCCCTCCTTGTACCTCCACAGTACTTTGAATGCAACACTCTGAATCCCAAATACTTTCTATTGTACAAATTCCTTATATATTCATATATCCAAATTTAAATATGTGGATATACACAGATCTGTCTCCCCCATTAGACTGTGATATCCTTCAAGGTACAAATTCTGCAACATTCATCCCAGGTGTCCTCAGTGCCTGGTACATGGTCATCATCCATTAATCCTAGTAGAATCTATGAATGAGCAAATGAATGAATGCCACTATGAAAACATAACCTACTTTACTGAAGTTCCAGGTGTATCAGGTTCTCTGTTTGGATAACCTCATCTGGTATATGGTTAATAGTAACCAATTCATTTTGCCACATTGTCCTCTGTGACTCCATGTCCAAGTTGGATTACACTTAGATGCCCTGAAATAGTCTAAGCCAGGTTCTGCACAAGCAAGTAGCCTCCCTTCTGGTAGTACTCAAGGCCCTCCATTACCTGGAACCAGCCTACAGTCATGTTCCAGCTTCCCACTGCTTCCTCTCACACACTCTCCACCTCAGCCAAGCAGCACAATTCCACCTTCTCCAAATCTGGCTGACATTTCCCTGCCCCTGAACGTTCCTGCCCTGTCCTCTTCAGCCTCAATCTTTTGACAAACATTCACCCAAAATCTAGTCATTGCACAATGCACTGGGGTTACTAAGATGACTGTTCTCAAGGAGGACACAGTAAATAGAACCTCACCATACAGCATGGAATGTGCTACGACAGAGCTAAGTACCAGGTATGAGGCTCGCACAGCAAGGCTACTGGGTAAGACTTTCTGGAGCAGTAGCTATTTAAGCTGACCATTCATTGAGCCACATTTTACTAGTGAGTGCAGTTGCTGGGCCTTAAAGGCAAGAATCTAGACTTCACCATCTCTCTTCCACTTCTCAGTTCCATGGAATAAACATACAGGGCCTAGCAATTAGGATATCAGGCATCCTTATCCATGCATCTAATGAATTATACATAAGATTTCTCTGCAAATAATGGTTATGTGAGATTAGAGAGGAAGGAAGTAGGAAGCAGCTTACCAGGGCAGCCCAACACAATGCTGATAGTGGCATCTTAAACTGTTGCTAAGCAAGATGAAGGTCATGGCTTTGCCAGTGCCCACCCATGAGGACACCTGGTTGTTGTTCTAGTGGAAGAATGAGACCATTGCAAACCTTGATTTTTTAGTCAGCAAACCATTTAAGAATCATTTGAGAAAAGAACATGAGTCTTGGGTTTTTGCCTTCTGGTAAGATCAGGAAAGCACCAGTTCCAGAGCTTATAAATTGGTATGAGGGTCTGGGAAGAAAACCCCAGATCAATAGGGCAGTGATGTGGGAAGAGACGATGATTATCACTGCTCTTGATGTCATGGAGGGAGGCGCTGCATACAGACCCACAGACACCAGCAACTCAGAGTCAGAGAGTATTCAGAAGAGCCTGTTGTGTGAAAACAGCTTAGGAATATTGCAGCCAACTTATGTTGCTTATATGTTTATTTTAGTGTGTGCACAGTATCTAAATAAACTTAAAGAGCTTTTTCAATAAATCTAAAATTATAATTCTAAGTTATAAAGCATTGTGGTCATAGTCTAATTGACAGTACTTTTTTATTCTTAGAGGTACATAAAATAACGGTGCCTCTTAAAATCAATAGTTTCTTAGATACTATGAAATACGGCGGCTACTCTATGGTGGCTATTTGTTTACCGAGTTAACCCACTGAATCCTGACTGTAATTAAGTTTTCTCTTTATGTATCGCTTCAGTTGAGTTGAAAGCTTCTCCAGTCCATTAGCTATCCACCTGAGCTCTGGAAAATATGTCAGTGTTCTTTGTGTTCTCTGGAAGAGAACGGCAAAATGTGAAAAAAAAAAAAAAAAACCCTTTAATATTTAATACTGGCCTGTTATCCTCATTTCAGGTTTTAGGAATTAGATGAGAATGACTTCATTGCACTGCAGGCAACTGTATTGATGGAATGGGCTTCACTCTGTGCAACAGATGTGCTCCTGGAGAAGATGTGTTTAATTTAGATTTTTTTGTGTTCCCACAGAAAAAACAGTTTGCTTAAGACATCACTCCCTCACACACTTGCACACACACGGTGTTGCTTGAACATGCTACAAACAGATTACACAAGAGTTAGGAGGCAAGCCCAGGTCTGCATGCCAGGTTTCCTCACCCTGGACCCCACAGCCAGTCTTTGGAAGGCAATTATCTCTTTAGATTTACAAACCCAGAAAAATTGAGACCTCTTTCCACATTACCTCTTGAACATGAGGCAACACGGTGTTACTAACAAGTATGTAATTCATGGATCTACAAGCCTTTGCTATGGGCTTTTGTGTCAAGAAATAGGAAAGTAAAAACCAGATACTCGACCTCGAGGAAGGATTGCAATTGATGGGATTTTAAAAATGAGAAAACAGTCCAGGTCCAAGGAAATGGTGTTCAGTCACAGTATCCTAAGAGTGTTCACTGGCAGGATTTTCTCCTCCTGTCATTCTGAGAATCTTAATGGGTTTGAATTGATTCACTGAGCCATGCCATTGAAAGGGAAGAGAAATGTCAAGACCCCATGTTTCCAGTCATGCATTTGGGGCCAGACCAAAATGCACTTCAGAACTTCTAGGTTTAAATGTTTCCACCACCACAAATAAATCATTTGACAAGTCTTTCCACGCACCTATAGTGTTCCCCGCCTTGCCCTAAGGTCCCTCTATATGGAGCACAGAAGGTGAGGCCAACCTGGTCCTCCCTTTCAGGAGATGACCACTGAGATGTGGGGGTCAGCCTCACGCCTAAGGATAAGGGAGCTATCTAAGCAGCTTCACTACTCCAAGGGACCTGGGACTAATGCATGTGGTGAGGGTGGCAGGGAGAGAACATCCAGCACCCCCTGCAGGAGCCAAGAAGACCTCCTGCAGTAGCTTGCATGGGTCTCTGGGAGGTTGCAGGAGACTCCACCCTGGGAACTTTCTGTTGCCTGGCAATTGCCACCTGGGTGCTCTCTCTCTCCTCGCTAAACAACCTTCACACCAATCTGGAGGCCTTGGGTGGTTGCTGGTCTCTCTGTTCAAACCAAGTGAGAACTGGTTTGAATCAGGGAATCCAAGAAGTGGGTAGAAAAGGGCATTGCTATATAGGATAAGGTACGGCATTGCTATATAGGATAAGGTATTGCATTGCTGATAACTCAAAACAACTCTATGGGAAACACAAGATGGCTTCATTACCTATGCTGGCATCGAGGCAATAGCCATCAGTTAAAGGACGAACCTCAGGGCGAAGCCGGATGAGGACCCCTTCTTGAATAGCCCTACGTGTGACTCTAAGAGCTTCTCTTCTTTCCTCTTATGCAGGTTTTTATCTAAATAGCTACACGTATCTCATTGCAGTGAGGAAGACAGGACCTGGCACAAGATCCTGTCCTACTAGTGATTTAGTGGAGTAAGGAGCACAGGTAGGAGGTTCCCGGGGACTGAAAATCAGTGAGGCACTCACCTGAGGATTGGAGACCATGGGCTCAGATTCTCCCCAGTTAAAAAGGATGTACTTTCCCACCTGCCCCAGAACAGGAGCTGAGTCTGCACTGCTCAGGTATGTCGCTCACCTCCTCTTCCCAAAATGAGGGGACAGGGACAGGGGAAGGAACAGAACACCAAGAACAGAGCCATCTAGCCCAAGCTGCTCCTCTACCTTTCTGGACACAACTCTGTGGGCTCCCTAAGTCCACGGCCACATGTTCTCACCCTGATGAACCCCAGAGAGGTGCACTATTCAGCTTTCAACGTGGCCTAATCCCAGCTGAGGGCTCAGCTCTGGGCTCTCCCTGAACCACACAGATCTCCAAGTCAGAGATACCGCATGTCAGTGCTGGCAGTTGAAACAGTAGGGACCATCACATTTTTGATTTATAGGCTGCCCAGGGAATGTCCCAAAGCCGGAAGGCCAAGTTTCATAATCGGCTCCTTAGTCTGAGGCCAAACCATCAGGCCACAACACTTCCTGCTAACATGTTGGACTTTTCCAACATATAATTACTTATTCATGAATTATTTGGACCTAAATACTGTACAGGCTTTTTCACTTCCTTACCTCCCCTAATAATCTGTCGTTGGAATTATACATTCG
This sequence comes from Homo sapiens, assembly GCF_000001405.40. Taxonomy (NCBI): domain Eukaryota; kingdom Metazoa; phylum Chordata; class Mammalia; order Primates; family Hominidae; genus Homo; species Homo sapiens. The sequence goes on from NC_000002.12 coordinate 23,293,471, forward strand.
ATTCCCAATTATAAGCTAAGACTTACCTCTGGGGCCCTGATATTGTCTTAGCAAATGCAGAGTTAAACCCAAAACAAAGCCAATAAAGGAGGCATCTAAAATTACATGGCACCACCATGTAATTTGAGTCTTATTTAAAACAACTATTCATTTTAATGACTGTTCAAGTTTATTTTCATAAAAATGTGTTTTACGTAAGCCCCAAAGTTTCATATACAATTAATTCCCTTCACAAAGAAAGTACGTTTCAAACCCAGAATGGTCATGCTGGTCTCCATGACCGTGGAGCTTGTTTCTTTCAAGTTGTAGTTGCCTTTTTTCCACTGTAATTAAGCTTGGGGGAAAAAATCATAATGCTAACCAAATAAATCCCACCCTTCGTACAATTATGTATGGTATGCGGTGAGCAAAAAAAATGATCTAGGCTTTGTTCGTCTTAAAATACACTTGGCAGCCACTTCACTTAATAAGCTCCTTTCTCCTTCTGAGAACAAGGGAGTCATAAAGTCCAAGCAATAATGGAGGAGGGCTGGCAGCTCCGGAGGGAAGTGACAACATCCCACGGCAGCGACCTGCACACAGGGTTCTGAGCAATGCTCTGACCTGGCTTCTCCACAATCATGAGTTCATCTTGTCTCTAAGTGTATCTCTCTGGGACTTGTTTTTATTGTAGTTTCCCCCTTTGGGGAATCTAATTTTTACATAACGATGCAAGGTCAAACAGAGAGGGCTCACAAACCCTCATTCTCCTACAGAACCTCACAGGTTTCACTGAACACCAGCCGGCCTGATCAGGTCTCCCCATTTCCATCCCCACCACCCAGGACCTGGCACGAGATCCTATTCTGCTGAAGCCCCACAGCCATCTCTCAGTGGGGCCTGCACTCCACACCCCAGGAATTTCTCTGCCCCAGTCATGACTAAGCTGGCCCCTTGTTGCTTCCCCTCATGCTCTAGAAGGGGCCCACTCCCAGGTGCCGCCCACTTGCTGCACCCTGGTGGCCACTGTTGACATTCAGAACATCTAACCTGGACTCCTCAAAGCTGCCCTACATCATACTGTCTCCATGTTTTGCTTCCTCCAACCCAAACAGCACTGTGATCGGAGAGGTCTAGGGTTCTAAAATGCCCATCTGAGCACTTCACACTTCCAGCTTAGCAACTGTTATCACCATTGGTGACCAAAGTGTAGACAGATCATTACATTAACTTTCAACAGCCAGGATCCCACCTTTTTTTCAAAGTTGATTTTTCTGACATCTTCCTGCTTATGTAGTATATAAGATAAACTGGACAACCTGCTGATCCCTGCAAATACCCTTTGATTTTTCTCCCTCCAGGCCTTTGCTGATGCTGTTCTTTCTACTTGGAAGGCCAAGTCAGTATCTGTTGGTTTGTATGCTATTTGCCATTCAAGGCTTGGCTCAAATACCACTTCCTCCCCTTAACGAGAAGTTTTTTCTTCCCCATATGAACCCTATAAAATTCTAACATAGCTCACTTAGAGCTCTTACCTTGTTTCAACACCAAGCAACAAACATGCCCATCCCTGCCCCCTAAATTTCTGCTATTTGTGAGTATGCCCTACCCAGCGTACTAATCTGAATGCTCCTTGAGGCCAGAAGCCACATCCTATTAATCTTTGCATTTCTCCTGCCTAGTAAAGTGGCTTGCATTTAATAGGCATTAAATATATATTTGTTGACAGAATAACTGAATGAAAGACTTCTCTGGAGTTTTATTTTATACAGAAGAAGGTTAGAGAGGGAGGAAGAGGTGTGATGTTGCTTAATTTGTTCTGGATTATGATGGGCACTTTTTCCCATCAAGGTAGGTAGCAATCCTTGAAGTCTCAAATTAAATGTCACTTGTACATAGAGAAGAAGCCTTCCATTACTCCTATACTAGGTTAGGTTCCTCTCCTGTGCACTGTCACTCACACACACACACCCCCACACACCTGTTGTGAGTGGTGTTCCAGGTGGAGGGGTTGGAGGAGACACTTCTCCACTCCTGGTGTTTTCCATCAGATGAAGCCTGCTTCCACTAGCACCATACACCTGGCCTCTCTCTCCACCCTTCACTCATTTATACTGAATTTATATCAATTAGTGGCCCTGGAAGGGAGATTTGGGTCTCAGTAACCTAGACCTCCTCCTCCTCCCTCATCTTAGAAGCAAGTTCTTCTAGGAAGCCCATCCTATGCACAGCTGCTGCGCTATACTGTAGGATTTACCCAGATGCAGGCTCTCCGGCTGCAAGTGGGAGCCTTGCCTGGCCCAGGCTGCCTGGGACTGCTGGGCCAACTCTGAGATTCAGCATCAGGCAGCCCACGTGCCTGAAGATACAAGCTCCATTCTCCAATGGCAGCTTCCTAGTTAATTTGAGTGCTATTTTGATTTCCCATCTGCCTTACTTTTTTATCTTTTTTCAGTTGGCTCAGGTCTTGGGTGAAAAAAAGGAGAGTTCATCATTGGACCTTCTCCAGACCTGCCTCTGTCTCCTAATAACTATGTGTTTAATCACCAGTGTCCCACTCGAGACCCTCCACTCCAGGAGGACTGGTGCATCTCTCTTTTTCATTGTGTTTCCCGTGCCAAGCAATGACTGGTGTGTCGGATGCTAAACCCCAGTAAATGTTAAAGAGGTAGCTAAATGCTATTGAGAAAAAATTAGAAGAAAGAAATGAAAAGGAAAGAAAAAAGGAGAGAAGAAAAAAGGAAAGGGAAGGCATCTTATAAGAAAGAGACAGGAGAGGAAGACAAGGAAAAAGAAAACTAGGTAATAAGGAAAGAAGACGATAAGAACTTCCTTGAGAGGAAGTCAAAAAGGAAAAAAAACAAAAGGGTAACCAAGTAAGGGGTAAAAGAAAGTGCCAGAACAGACCCTGCAGCCAGGCTAGAGAGCCCAGCGAGAATGAGAGCAAGACTATGGCTAGCCTCTCACCCTTCATCCTTCCCTCCCTCAAAGGGCTTCCTTCCCATCCCGACTCTCACCTTCGCTCTCCAGTAGATTCACCTGAACAATTAGCTTTCGCCTCCTCCTCTCTGTTCGCAGTGCTGCTGGGAGGTAGGACTGGGATGAATGCAGAGGGAAGCGATTTGGGAGGAGGAAGCCTCACTGAGAGAAGGGTTAATAGTGTTTGGAAGCTACATCCAGAAACTCTTATCTCCTGTATGAGCCCAGGGATCACCCCGGGACCCCAGCCCTGCAAAGGTCAGGAAGCTTAGAGAACAAGCTCCTCTAATAAAGCAAAAGCCGTCAGCTCCTCCCACAACACCTTCCCCAAGGCCCAGCCTACCCTCTTCCCCCAGGCCCCCTTTCCTGTTCAATTCTCATTATCCTTCTGCTAATCGAATAGAGCTGGGCACTTGATCAAAACTATTGGTTCTGTAACTCACCCAGATGCATCATAAGCCGAGACGTTTATGGCTGTCCTGGGATATATATCTCTGTGATCTAGCTCCTCCGCGAGCTCTTTGGCTGCCCCCGGAGTCGGGACAAATCTTATTTCAAAGTATGTTTAGAAGAAGGAAGCTGAGGCCTGGGTAGGTCTTCTTCTGACACTCCGCCTCCCTGTTCACAATGGCCAAAGGAAAGGGCCACAAGCACTTCCCAGGAAATAAACAGATGAATTAACGTTAATTATTTTGTATGCGTTTGATCTGTAGGTGAACTAGTATCATCAGGCAGCACTCACTCGTGAATATTCCCTGGGACTCCAGCATGGTGGGGATTTTAAAAAGAAATGTAGCTCTATCAATAAGAAACATGTCATCCTGTTTATGCCCAAGTTGCATCACCCACAAAACAGCCTTTCAATATTCTCAGCTGCAAGGTACGTTCACAATGATGATTAACATTGTTACTGTTATTAAAACCTTCAGTTTTCCTCCCTGGGCTTCAGATGACAGGAATAACATACTGTATTCATCTACTGGGGCTGCTATAACAAAGTAGCACAGACTGGGTGGCTTAAACAATGGATATTTATTTTCTCACAGTCCTTCAGGCTCTAAGTCCAAGATCAAGGTGTCAGCAAGATTAGTTTCTCCTGAGGCCTCTCTCCTTGGCTCATAGATGGCTGTATCCTCTCTGTGTCTACACATGGTCTTCTCTCTGTGTGTGTTTGCATCCTAATCCCCTCTGCTTATAAGGACACCAGTCATATTGGCCTCATTTACCTTAATCACCTCTTTAAAGGCCCTATCTCCAATTCCAGTCACATTTGAGATACAGGGAGCTGGGGCTTCAGTGTAGGAATTTTGTAGGGGCCACAATTCAGCCCAGACCACCCTCTGTCCCAAATTCTTTCCTGAAGTTAGAGCTGAGTCACTGGGGGACGGAGAGGGGGAAACATAAAGGCCTGGCTTCCAATCTCTGCCAAAAACATGAATATTGTTCACAGATATCAGAAGCACAGCCACCACCAGGCACCCCCAGCTGCACAGCCTCAGCCCGTGAGGGCAACGGAGTAGGAACCAACCGCCCACCTGATGATGAGGCCGCCCAGTTCTGAGGCAGTGAGCAGCAACAAATGGCTCCCACCAGAGGTGCCAGCTCAGCAGCGCAGAGAGTGTCAGGCAGCATGTAGAATCTTCATCCCTCCATAAAGGGAAAGTAAGCCCTGGGGAGAGGCTGCAGAGCCTCTGCTAGCTGGTTAACTTCCTGAGTCTCGGTCTCCTGTCTGTCAGTGGAGGAGATCACTAGAGCTACTTATTCCACCGTATGAAGATTAGACCAGAACATCTCTACTCCAGCACAGTGCAACATGGCACATAGCATGTGCTTGAAACACACTGGCCAGAGCAGCGGTGGTGGCAGTGGTGGTGGCAGCAGTGGGCATCAGGGTCGGATTTTTGTCATCCTCAGAGCCTGCTCTAGCTTTCCCATTTCCGCAAGCTGGCCCAGACCTTCCTGCCCATGCCATGCAGATGCCTCCCTCCTCTTCTCTGCTCAAGGACCAGCTCCCCACTTTCTCCCAGATGGCTTTCCAAAACACACTAGCACACGGAATCTCTGTCTCTGAGCTCCAACAGCTCAGGCCGGCAGTGTGTTCATCTGGCCTGAGCCCAGTCTTGAATCACTGACTTTCATGTGTACTCTTCTAAGCTTCCCATGGAACCTTCAGGGCATGGAGACTCCACATCGTCACCCCTTTGCATTCTTCTGGGTTTGTCCTTACAATGCTGACATTTGTACCCCTCTGTGTCTTTGCCCACATGATGCCCTGATGCCCTCCCTAGGCGTGGCTAATGTCCTCCCTGACACGCAGAAAATAAAGGGAGCTATCTGCCTCAGCACCCAGAGCAACCCACGTGACCCTCATATCCCTTTGTCATCATGGCTGCCATTGGCTGAATGCCTACTCTATGCCAACCGCTGAGCCAGAGGCTTTACACACATTCGCTCCCATGCTCACACTATGAGATTAGTATAATGGCACCATTCTGCAAGTGATGAAACCAAGGCTGCAGGTAAAGTGACTTGCTATAGGTCACATGATCATAAGAAAAAGAAGTTGTCATTTTCTAAGTCTGTCTCCAAAGACAGCTATTTTTCTATCACACCAATGGTCTCAAGTAAGAAAAATGGACACTTAAATCATGTGGGCAGCAGAGCGTGGGGGGTCACATGTTGGAATACTACATAACCATGACAAAGAATCAACCACTGCTACATGCAACAACATGTAATATAAGCAAAGGAAGCCAGACATGGATCGTAAATATATGATTGTGTGCAGATGAAGTTCAAGGGCAGGCGAAGCTAATCCACACTGATGGAAGTTAGAATAGTGGTTACTTCTGGATGAGTGAGTGAGAGGCACCGACTTGGAAGGACCGTGAAGGAGCCTTTTGGGGCACTGGAAATGTTCCTTTTATAGCCGGATGGTATTCATACAAACGCATATGTATGTAAAATTCATGTATGTACATTATCCCTCAATAAAAAAAATGTTTAAAACATCCTCAGGGAGGACATATGTAGTCTTTTAAATATATTCAATATTATAATTTCATATTTGGAAACCAAAAAATAAATCACTCTATTGCTTTTGAAACACAAACTTTAAAAGAATTTTCAAGATGTATACGTTTCTCCAAAGGAGACATATGTTTAAAAGACTGAGACACGCTGCACTGCATGGATCACATTCTGTCTCCATTCTTTGTGTATTTCTGGCTCCCCTGTCAGACTCAGGGCACCTTTGAGGAAACACCATCCTGGAATGGCCACAGCATAGGATCTGCACAGCTCACAGGAAGGGTCTAGTAAGGGATTGTCAAATGGGTCATCTCTGCCCTCCAGAACTCATAACATGTGGACAAGTCCAAGAATTCAGGACTGAGGCTGCTTCTCCCAATCCTGTCTATCATTCAGCCACATTTTACAACTCAGACAAAGAGAAGAATACCACTGCTGTGGAAAGCCTTGCTCCGAAACAAGGGGTGGTTGCTCAGTGGGCCTGGCAGGGCGCTGAGCTGCTGAGAGTCTGTCTCCACCCCAGTAATCATATAAAATTTCCCCCGCCAGTGCCTCTGCCCCCTGTGGGCAGTTTGCTCTGCATGCTGAATCCGGGCACAGAGAACCTGCTGGAAGTTGCTCTTGCAGGAAATGGCCTTTGCTGTTCTTAGAGCAAAGCCTTTAATTTGCGTGGCAGGAAGCTTAGTGTATTTCACACTGTCGTTCTCATCATGAACTCCTAGGGGAGGAGCATGAGTGTGAACCTTCTATATTGAACATTCAGTTTGCCAGGCCCTAGCATAGGTCCTAGGACATGGTGGGCACATACAGGTAAGTTCACGCCCCTACTCTCCTGAGAGTTCACGATGAGAAAAACAGCACTTGAGGGCTGGGCATTACCAACCAGCCAAGGCACAAATTTTTCTCAAGAACCTGCTATATGCCATGATGGTTGTCAAGAGGATGCAGTGTTTTTGGTGGATGACAATGCCAAACCCTTTGAGTAGCTGAGCCATGCTGAACAATGGAGAGAAAATGCAGAGGCTACTTTGCTTTATTTTAATGGGGCAAAATGTAGGTCTGTGGTCCCTTTCTGCAGTCTTTATTTTGTATTAGATCTCATAAAAGTTCCTAGAAAGTTCCTGCCCAGCTGTCTCTTTGAGCTATAGGTGGACAACAAGACATTTTTCTGGTTCAGTGAGGCCGCAGACAGTGCAGGCTCTTACCTTCACCACAAAGATACCTGCTTCGTCTTTGTCAGATTCTGGAACATTCTCAGGCTTCCACTCATTACTTTGTATCAGTCCTTTAGAGAAGTTAGAGAAATTCCAGGAACTAATGATTGACTCATGAATATCCAGCCTCTCAGGACCCTTATCATTCTTCATTAGAACCAGATAGACAGATTAATTGGCTGATCCTCCTTGAATACCACAAGAGGCAAAAAATGCACTCAAGTGATCAAGCAATGGGAAGAAAGGGAGATAATGGACAAAAAGGTCATGTCCGGAGAGGCCCCAAAGACTATCAGAGTGAACAAGGACCAAAATCATCCCTAGAGATCTCAAAGTGGGGGTGGGCCTAGGACTGGGTCAAATCTTACTCTCAGGCCAAGGCTAGTAACCAAGGTCAGGAGCACCTCCCTCTTGCAATGAAGCGGCAAAGATGCTCTCCCAGTTAGTTCTATCTCACTCCTTCTCTGCTACTCAAGTTTTCAGAATGAGTTCTGTGGCTCTTTCACAAGCCAGGGCTGAAAGAGGAGTGCAGTATGAGGTCTACTCCCACCCTCAGGCCCACAGACACTCTACAGAAATTGCAAGAGACCTGCAGGCCACCCAGCTAGTAGAAACACTTCTCATAATTCTTGGCAACAACCTCATACTGATGTAAATACAAATCTCTTTCACATTCATATTCATTCACTCATGGCCATTTGGAGACATGTCTAATGTATGAGGTATGCTGAAGGTCACAGAGATGAATTAGACATGTTCTAACTGTCCTTACAAGTTTTTAGTCTGGTAGAAGAAACTCATATTCAATAACAAAATACAAGCAAGCTGTGAGGACTATTGCCAGGAAGGGCCCAAGTCTCTATGGGGGCACAGAGGGGGGAAATTCCTTCTAGTTGGAGGAATCAAGAAAGGAAAACAGCAGAAGAAGAGATTTGTACTGGACCTTGAATAAGAGATATCTGGATACATGAGAAAATGGGGAGGCACTAGCCTACCAGGATGAAAGGACTCAGGACCAAAAATGAGGAGATGAGAACACGTAGAGCATGTTCAGAAAACACCAAGTTGATTAATTTCACTAATCAGAGTATGTAAAAAGGAGAAATGGGAGATAAGACTATTTAAGAAATGGTCTAATGTAAGAAAAATCTAAATCTCAGAGGACCTTGAATGTCATATTGGAAGCTCAGACTTCGTTCATTAGGTGATAAGAAGTTATTGAAGAACACGATCAGGGTCAAGGTCAGGGGGGTGGGGGGAGTTGAGGGTGGCTTGAGTGAATTTCACCTTCAGAAGAAAGATCTGGAAGCTCGACAATCAAAGGCAGAAAATACGGAGTCCTCATCTCAGAGAAGGAAAAGTTCTGCTTCATTTTCAAGCTCTCCATGATGTCTATTTCATCAGTTTTCTCTTCTCTGTTTATATATTCAGACTCCACCCTCCCCCCCCCCACTTTGGGTTCTTTCTGCACAGATTACAAATACTTAAGTCTATCTCTTACATTGACAAAACCAAATATATACAAACTTCCCACCTTTTCCACTCTTTTATTCACAGACAAGCTTCTTAAAATGATAGCAAGCCTCCTAAATGGAATGATTTTTTGCATACCCCCACTTTTTAAACCCCAGGGTATTCATACATAACATGATCCCTTGGGGGTAGGAATAAAGTATCAGAATCTTAACTTTTATTTATTTTATCTAAGAATAACAAAGTAAAATTATGTTTTACTAATTCATAAAACTCTGCCATATAACTCATAAACAGAGTCCAAAAAACTCAATCATGCGAAATTAAGAGTGGTGTTTTTGTGAGGTTAATGAAAAATAGAAATTGAGGGGTCAGTTTCTGCCATCAGTAAACACAGTACTAGATGAAAATGACACATTACCTGCAAAGAGTATTAGCAAACTTCTTAACAACCCCAGTAAAACCAGAAGACAATAGAATATTATTTTCATAGCACTGATTAAAAGTAAAAGTCACTGTCCACTTAGAATTCTATTTCCTTGCAAGGTTATCACTGAAGATTAAGCATTTAAACTGAAAGAATTTACCACTAACAGACTTTTGCTGAAAGAATTAGTTTCTTTCTCCAAAGAGGATGAAAGGAAAAAGGAAACTGAAACCAGAAGAGTCAGATGTAAGAAGAAATGTGAACAACACATGAGTAGGCATGTGTATGAACCTAAATAATATCAATATAAATAATAATACTCATGATTAATTTGGAGGTCATAATAATCAAGATGGAACTAAAACATTGGACAAAAAATACCTATAATAGAAAACTGTTAAAGCTTTCTAAATTCCTTGCATTGTTCAGAAGGATGATAGAGTTATTGATTGGCTTTGACCATTAGGTAAAATATACATGAAATGGTTTTAAAAGTAACCACTAGAAAATGGGAAAATAATATATAACTTTTGAAAATATCTTCTGAAAATAAAATATAACTTTTGAATATCTTGGGAAAATAATATATAACTTTTGAATTCCTTAGAAGGGATAAGGGAGAATAAATAAAATGCTACCTATGCACAGAAGGTAGAAAGGGAGAGGGGAAAATCAAAGCAAAGAAAAAATGGTAGAATAAATATAAATATGTCACTAATCACAAGAAGTTAAATGAATTAAACTCAGCTGTTAAAACCCAGATCATCAGATTGGAGCAAACACTAAACTAGTGTTCTGCTCTTTACAAGAGACAAATTCAAAGCAAAAAGAAAGTTATTGTATGTAAAAAGACGGAAAAAAGATCTGCTAGTTAAATACCAACCAAAAGAAGCCTCATAAAATGGAGTTTCAGGGGAAAAGATTATTAGAAACAAAGATGTTCACTGCCAAAAAATAAAAAGAATAATTTCTCAAGAAGATACTACAATTCTAACATTGTTCACACCTGATAATAAAATCACAAAATATATAAAGCAAAGATTGACAAAACTAGCATGTGAAATTGACAAATCAGCAATCACAATGGGGAATTTTAGCACCTCTCTCAATAATTAACAATTAATTTCTTAATGAAGAACAAAAATTACTAAAGATTTAGAAGATTTGAAAAACATGATTAAAAACTTGATCTAATGAAAATAGAGAGAGCGTTCTCTGGCCACATTCTCTGTCTACACTTCTTCATCTCCCATTCACCTTTCAACCAACTGCCTATGCTCCCAACACATCTATGAAATGACAGTCCAAAGAGTTACCTATGACCTCCTGTATTGGTCAGTTTTCACGCTGCTGATAAAGACATACCTGAGACTGGGCAATTTACAAAAGAAAGAGGCTTAATGGGCTTACAGTTCCATGTGGCTTGAGGAGGCCTCACAAGCATGGCGGAAGGTGAAAGTCACTTCTTAAATGATGGCAGCAAGAGAGAGCTTGTGCATAGAAACTCCCATTTTTAAAACCATTAGATCTCGTGAGACCCTTTCACTATCACGAGAACAGCATGGGAAAGACCTGCCCCCATGATTCAGTTGTCTCCCACTGGGTCCCTCCCACAACACCTGGGAATTATGGGAGCTACAAGATGAGATTTGCCAAACCATATCACCTCCCAATTACCAAATTCTTATTCTTCTGCTTTTAAAATTATTGGAAACTCTCTGATATCATGACTTCTATGACCTAAGATTTTTGTTTCTTCTAGCTCTCTCTCTCTCTCTCTGCCCATTCACCATTTCCTTTAGGTGGTTGGCTTCCCCTGTTGATTTTCTCCAAGGTTCTGTCCTCATCTTTTTTCTTCCCATTCCACACACCTTCCTGGCAACCTCATCTCACACCAAGGATTTACATCAGAAATGCAAGTTCAGTAGGCAAGGACTTAGCTAGGAGCTAGCACAGATTCAGGTGCAGCCCACAGAGTTGCTTAGTGAGCATCCTGGTAAATACCAGGCTCAGGGAGCCTGCATGGAGGCTGAGAGGACAAGAATGATGACAGTCTCTGCCTAGATTCAGGGGAGGGGCCATGCATGCCTTATTCACCTGAACACCCAGCTCAGTGCCTAGTCTGCAGTAGATATTTGATTAAAATGTGTTACTTGGTTGAGCATACACTGAGTTTTACATGTCCTCTAGAGAGCTCCAGAAATAGAGTTTGTTGAGGGATGGGAAGTTATCTTCAGTCTCGGAGCTTCATCAAAGGCTTCTGAGTCAGGCTGGGAGCTCTAGCCCAAATAATAGCCAAGATTGTGGTCAAAAGTCAATCTAAACCAATTCCCCAGTGAGACCACTTCTCAGACACAGCTTCTACAGTTCTATGAAGCCAGAGCCCTTAAATCATAAGACATTGTGTTTCTGCTCATTTCTTCCTGTACCTCTTTTCCCCCACCCTGGTACAGAAACTCCCCTCCCTCCACCACCCACATAGCTGTGAATATGCTATCAGTCACTGAGAGACAGGACATGGGCACCCTCTGCCTCAGTGACTGCAGCCCAGGGAAAGCCGTCTTCTGGCAAAGCCAAGTGGCCATTTTCATAGACGTCTCATAAGCACATAAGCCAAAGCCCAAACTGCTGAAAAATCCGTCTCCCGTCCTTTCACATTCCTGCAGCAATAGAAGTTCATTTTCTCATCATATACTGTAAATTACAGGCTGAAAAGGTGGGTCACGTCTGACTTCAGCCTATAAATAGCTGATCTTCCTTCTCTTCCTCAGAGGGGCCATTCTCAACAATGGCTTAGCTCAACGCATCCCCAGCAGAGGGACAAAAAAGCAGGAATAGAAATCAAATCTCCCTCCAGTGAGCCCAGGGGCAGAACCTGGAGTTCTTCATGCCTCTGAATCAGAGAAGCCCCTAACCAGTGCACACATATTTTTCTATGAGGCAACATCTAGGTAAATCCACTTCCAGTCTCTCTTCATCTCTCTTATGCACCCCTTCTGCAAATAGCTCCCAGCACTGCCCCAGCATCTTGTAAAATAAAAATCAAAGCTGAGCAAATAATTTAAGACTCATGTTTAAACCTTTTCCAGGTCCCTGAATTCATTGCCTCTTAAAGTGAAATGCCTGTGCCAGCAGCTCCCGGGCCATCAGGGATTACAGCACTCCCCCTCCCCACCAACTATTTTGTTTAACATTTAGGCAGCTCCTCACAGGGCACATGAAAGTTGGTTTTTAATCAACCAACAATATTATTTATCACCAGCCACATGCTTGACACTAAATAGATGTAAATGTGAACAGAAAACATGACTTTTGTTTTCAAGGAGCACATAGCCAAGCAGAATAGACACAACCCCCTCAGCAAAACAGCAGAGAACAGAAGAAAACTGGGATTAAGCGTTCGATCAAGTGGAACAGACAGAAAGCATAGTAGGAGTCAAGGAGAGTGGTCTCTGAAGACAGAAGTTTCATGCTGGAGGGGCACTGAACTGGCAGGCTTTGGAGAGATGGAGAAGATGGAAGGAAGCACTGAAAGCTGGGGAAAGAGCATGAGCAAATGCAAGAAAGCAAAATAAACATCATGTTTCAGGACCTGTGTCACCTGGATGTGTTACATGCAGAAAAATTCATGGTCACTGTCATGGGCTGAGCTGTGACCTCCCCAAAATTCATGTGTTGAAGTCTTAACCACTAGTACCTAGAATATGACTGTATTTGGAGACAAGGTCTTTAAAGAGGTGATTACAGTAAAATGATGTCAAATAGGTGGTCCCTCATTCAGTATAACTCACATTGTTAGAAGAAGAGATTATGACAAAGATAGGCACAGAGGGAAGACCCCGGGAAGACACGGAAGGAAGACAGCCATCTACAAGCCAAGGGAGAGGCCTCAGAAGGAGCCAACCCTGCCAATACCTTGATCTGCCAACGCTTCTAGTAGCCAGGACTGTGAAAAGCAACTTTCTGTTGTTTAAGTCACCCAGCTTGGAGTGCTTTGTTATGGCAGCCGGAGCAAACTAACATACTCAGGTTCTCTTGGCAAGAGCTCTCGGGAAGCAGCAGGGGCTACCCCAAGAATTTAGGCACAAGGCCATCTTGGCCTGAACCAAGGCAGACGTTGTGAGATCGGAGATGCTAACATGGGTGAAAGGGAATTCGAGGGTTATGGAGACCTTGGCCACAGGTTACATACAAGGATGAAGGAGGGGGTGGAGGTGGGACGTCTCTGAAATCTGAGAAAAAAGGACTCCAGGGATGCAGGCTACCATTTCAGTTCCTAGGAGTCACCTTGTCCACAGAAACCAGGTGCCCTCTCTCTGCCCTCTCCCAACTCCCTGTCTCTCGGCAGCATGAGACACTCCAGGGTGCAGGATGCTGAGGAACTGGACTCCAATGCCCAGTGCTCCATGCTGACTCTTTAAAGCTTGGAGCATCTTTTTAGGAAAAAAAAATCTAAATCATAAATTAGCACCTGCTCCAGTACTTCTCTGCCCAGCTGAATCAGAGCCGGGTGGGAAGTCAGGGAAGAAATCACTTCACGGGAAACCAGTTATTAAGAGACACTGGGAAGCAGAGTGTCTGCCTCTTCATTCAGTCCCTGAGATCCTGGGCTCCTCACTCACTCAGTTCTAAGAATCTTAGCTGCAATCACTGACAGCTTCAAACCCCAGACACAACATCTCCTACTGGAAGGAGGGAGTCAGTAAATGTGTACCATTTCTCCTTGAGAGGAGGTAGCCTCCAGGGACATCCCTGACTTCCCAAGATACCTAACCAGCTAACATGGAGCTTACTCTGCAGGTACTAAGTGCCTGTCTCACATTGATTCATTTAATTCTCCAACAGCCCAAGGGCAGCAATGCAAATTGTACCCCCAGTGCAGTGCCACTCTGCACCCATCAGAAGGGCCACAATGAAAAAGAAAATCTCAAAGGTTGGTGTGGACATAGAGCAGCTGAACATCTCCCTCACTGATGGTGAGGACAACCACAGTGGACAACCACTGTGCAGAATTGTCCAGGAGTATTGATGAAACCTGAACATACGTCTTACCTTATGTATTAGTCTTTCTCACACTGCTATAACGACATATCCGAGACTGGGAAATTTATAAAGGAAAGAGGTTTAATTGACTCACAGTTCAGCATGGCTGGGGAGGCCTCAGGAAACACAATCATGGCAGAAGGGGAAGCAAACACATCCTTCTTCACAGGGTGATAAGATGGAGAAGAATGAGAGCTGAGCAAAGGGGGAATCCCCTTTTAAAACCATCAGCTCTTGTGAGAACTTACTCACTATCATGAGAATAGCATGGGGGAAATGGTCCCCATGATTCAATTACCTCCCACCAGGTCCCTCCCACCACACATGGGGATTATGGGAACTAAAATTCAAGATGAGATTTGGGTGGGGACACAGCCAAACCATATCACCTTATGACCCTGCCATTTCATTCCCAGGTACACACTCAATAGAAATGTGTGTATAACTGCACCAAAATATATGTACGATAGCAGCACTGTTGTATCAACACACTCCCAGATTAAATGAGAATGAATAACCACAATTATACACAATGATATGAAGGAATCTCAAGAATATGATGTTCAAAAAAGAAATTAAACACAAAAGACTATCTATTGTATTATTCTATCTATGCAAAGCTTGCAAACAGGCAAAACTAATTAATCCATGGCATTAGAAGTCAGATTAGCATTTATCCTTCGGGTCGGAATAGTGTACCCTCTCCTACCCTGGAGGGATGAGGGAGGTTTCTGAGGTGCTAGTGACTGTTTCTTGAATGAGGTGTTGGGTGTATGTGTATGTTCACTTTGTGAAAACTTAATCAACTGTATACCTATATATGTGTACTTTTCTGTATGTATATTTCAGTAACAAAATTTTAAAAATTAAAACCCCATATGATAGGAAAATGACTCTCTGCATTAAGGAAAACAGGGCACACAGGACTGAAGTGATGTTCCCTAAGTCAGAGCCATAATTTGAACCCAAGGCGCTGGCCCTCGAGCTTAGGTATTCAACCACTGTTCTATGTGCGTCTTAGTACCTATTCTGCACTGACTTTTGTGCAAACCGTGTAGAACCCTAAGCACAGTGCTTGGTACTTAAAAGTACCAAGCATGACTGTACTTGTAAAAGTACCAAGTCATGACAAGCATGACTACATGTCATATTTTGAATAAATCCCACTGGAAACCACTTTCAATGGGTAATATGATCTTCACAAGCCACAGCATGGCCACTGGGTAAGAGCCACATCAGAAGATAACTACATTTGTATCTCAGACATCAGAAATGATGCTTTAGACCCAGAAATCATTTCTCACCTGCCCCATCCCATCCCTTCTAGAAACCTCATAGAATGGACCAGCCCAGGCCTGCATTTCCTCTGGGTTGAACACTTCTGCTGACAGTTGATGATGGACTCTCCTTCCAGGGGCCTTGGAAAACCGATTTTGTCCTGGCATTTAGAAAGATATCTCTAGACCTCAGGGATCAATTCACAAGTCAGGTGGCTGCTTGAAGAATTTCAAACACAGAATTTGGGATGTAAAACCAGTAGAAATCAAATTGGATAATCTCTTTTCTGGAGAAAGGTGGGTGCCTGGCTCCAATCCGTTCACTCACACACTCATCCATTCAACGAGCAAGTGGCTTCACACCCCAGCACACAAGGAGAATAAGTCCAGTCCATGCCACTGTGAGTCCAAATAGGTTAGAGGAATCAGACATGGAAAACAGTGAACCCGACCTCTGTGAGCCTCAGACAGTTTCCTCCTCAAAGTGCTGCTGTGAGATTTCCATGAGGCAATGCTGGAGACTGGCACACACTAAGCCCTTTATCATTGTTAACCATTATTATTATTATTTGCAATAACATGTTGCAGAAGTATTTGTGGGTTTCACTGAGGATCACAGGAGATCGTGGTCAGTTAAGTTGGTGCAG
This sequence comes from Homo sapiens, assembly GCF_000001405.40. Lineage (NCBI taxonomy): Eukaryota > Metazoa > Chordata > Mammalia > Primates > Hominidae > Homo > Homo sapiens. The sequence goes on from NC_000002.12 coordinate 23,309,540, forward strand.
GGTGATCACAGCAAGCATCACAGCTCTGATGCTCAAACAGGCTACTTCTTAGTGGAGCATTGCAAGGGCATCAGGGGGCCTTCCTGCCTGGAGACCGCCTCCCACCTGCCCCAGGCCTCACTCTCGCTCCTTCCACAGAAAACAAGGGAGATCAGAGCCCAGGGGTATTCAGGACATCTCTGTCCACTCGGCAGAGGCTCCAGCCTCAAGGCACCTGCCCTTCAGCGAGATTGGTGTCCCAGGCCCAGCTGCTCACTGTCAAGTCCCTCATCTCATTCCACCAAGCAAAGTCCCTGCTGCCACACCTCCAGCTCAGCTGCTGCATGTCCTCTCCATCCAGGACCACTGTGACTTTGCAGAGTCAGACCTGGATTTCTGCTCAGAGGCTGAAAGTGACCACTCCACACCCCAAAGACCTCCCTCCCCCTTACTCCCCTCACAGGAACCCAGTCCTCCTTGCTGGGGTTTTCTGACGCCCAGGACTGGCTTCTCAGCAAATTCCCTGTGACCCAGAGAGGCTTCCCACCTGGACACAGCCCTGAGCAGAGTCAGATCATCTGGGGAGCTTGTATCCCCCTCCCAATCTCCCAGGGGAGAAAAGCATTATGTCTGTCAGAAACGTGATAGAACTGTCAAAAGTATACCCAAACAGCTATATACACTGTGATCGCCAAGTCACAGTTCCATTTGTTCTGTGACAGTGTAAAAATAACAAAATTTCCACAAGATGGAAAATAAAAATGAAGAAAGTACTTCAACAGTGTTTGAAAACAATGTCTAAACAAAAGTCCCCTTTTACGTCCTCAGCAGCCTCCAAGTGGTAGTCCTTATCCAGTGACATCTCTTTCCTGTTCTCCCTCTCAGCCCACTTCTTCCTTCTTGTCTGGTCTCCTTCCCTTCTTTCTCTTCTACCTGGGCCTTTTTTCCATACCTAACACAGACAGGGGACAAGAGACCTCAACCACCTGGATCTGAGAACAGGTCCAGACATTGCCCAGTCTCCCTCAGGTCAGCTTTGCCTGTGCAAATTCACAAGCCACCAGCCCAGGAAGACACCCAGACCCTGCAACTGTAGGACTTTCATGTTTAATTTGGCCAGAAAGAAAACCAGGGGTGGGGGTACTCTTCTAGAGGCCACCAAGAGAAAATTCCCCAGAGCTGGGTCCCCATTCTCTGTGCTCATATGTGCTACAGCACTGATCATCCAGGGCTGTCTGCTCTCCAACTAAACCTCAAAGTATGTGACGTGATCGATCTTTGCCCCTCCATCCCCCATACCAGTCCAATTTTTGCCCAAGAGGAGGAAGGAGCTGGAAAAATATATATTAAATGACTGAACAAATGAATAAGGGCTGCCATGAATGTATGAATCGATGAATGCCTAGATCACAGGGGAAAGATGATTTGAATATTTACCTTTAACTAGTGCTTATTTGTATCAAAATAATCCATGCACGTGGTCTAAATAAAGCTCACATAGAGCTAACATTTCAAGGGGAAACAGCCATCTCCTTCTTTACTTCTCCCCATCACCCCCACCAGTTCTGGTCTCAAGAGATAACCACTCCCATCAATTTGACCTGTTTCTTCTCATATATAACTTCATATACCTTGATTTGTCAGTTTTAGACATTATGCATTGATCTCCTTTTATGCTGGATAAGGATTTAATGATCACATACCCCCATAACCTCCCTTCTCCTCCTCCCAACCTCGCATAAAAGGTACACAGAATAGGTTATTAAATCAAGAATCAGTAATTTTGTTGTTTTGACAGCATTTGCATTATTTGCAAATAGCCTTTGCTGCTAAGACAGATAGTGAGTCATGCCTCAAAGGGGTGGATCATGATACTGGGACTCTAAGCCCTTCATACACAGCTATCAACCAACCCTGTAATTTCAGGTCCACAGCTTACTCCTGCCTCCCCTGAGACTCTTCATCTCCTGCTCCTGAACCCTTCTTCCAGAAGAGCAAACTGGTCCACTTCTCATTGGTATCATCCTTTGCAGACACTTAAATTACAATGCCTCCACTTAGTTTAATTAGTTACCACTTCATTCAATTTCTGTTTTCCAAATATTTGTTGTAATTACTCATCTACTCTTGCCTCCATTTCTATCCTCTTTAGCCTCACAGCATTATAACACTTTTATTCCCTTACTAGCATTTTAGTGGTGTTTCAAGAGGGAGAAAAGAAAAATACATGTGGTCAATCTACTTATGCTTAAAGTAGACCAAACTGTTATAGAAATGGACAGTTACGCAGTCAGTGTTGAATGGCTAAAATCACTTCTGTGATAGTTTCAGCAGCCTTTTCAAGGTGGAAAGTTGTAGTGTATGCTGTGGTATGACTCTCAGATCCTCCTCTTGTGACAGAGGCATTCATTCCCCCCAGTCACTAGAACTGCAATTACTTGAGGCTTCTGTGTTCCTAGGGGTAAGACAGACAGGTGGCTAATAAGCGTATTGCATAACTTATACAATCAAAAGAAAAAAGGTGTCAGGGTTTGGGGGGTGATCAGGAGGCAAGTTGCTCTGATTTAAAAAAAGAAAAAAAAAAAAGTAATGATCCCTAGACCAGCTTCTAGACCTAAGCCAACTCTCAGACCCATAGCCCTTTGACTAAAGGAAAGGCCATGTCCCCAGGAGGAAGGGCCCTAAAACTCCACAACAAGTTTATATAGTAACAATTCTCCCAAGGAAAGGACTAGCAGGAAAGCCATACCTTGGAGAAATAAAAATACTCAAGACTTTTCAAAGACTGTGAATACAGTCCAAGTCGCAATTGATATGCAGGGAACTGAAGTGGAATCCAGGGTCCCCTGTTAGAGTAGAAGGAAAAGACACTATGTGAAGTTAACAGCACTTTCCAATAGGAGAATCACAGCATAGTCACCTGGGGCTCTGGCACATGGCCATGCCATCTGCACCCGAGAACCACACACTGCTCAGAAAGTAGTTCCTCGCACAATACTGGACCTTGGCTGAGACAAGGAATGTGATTCTCAGGCATAAGGTAGACCATGCGGGCCGGGTGCGGTGGCTCACGCCTGTAATCCCAGCCCTTTGGGAGGCCGAGGCAGGCAGACCATGAGGTCAGGAGATTGAGAACATCCTGGCCAACATGGTGAAACCTCGTCTCTACTAAAACTACAAAAATTAGCTGGGCATGGTGGCACGCACCTGTAGTCTCAGCTACTCCAGAGGCTGAGGTAGAGAATCGCTTGAACCCGGGAGGCAGAAGTTGCAGTGAGCCAAGATCGCACCACTGCACTCCAGCCTGGCGACAAAGACAGACTCCGTCTCAAAAAAAAAGAAGAGGATCATGTGGGCAGAAGCACACACCATGACTGGCTTCTGTCAGACCTTCTGAGTCCAAAAGTCAGGTGGGCCCAGCAGCAATCCCTCGTAAGATCAAAGTGGCACATCAGGGCCTGGGCACAAACAGAGCCACAGGGCACAGGACGCTCCATGAGCAGATAGTTCCAACCCCTGTCACCCACCACTGTTGCCTTGGTCCTGATCCCTCAGCCCTCGCCCACAGCCCCATGAGGGGTCCTTATCACCTGCAGATGGAGGCTGAAGTCAGCCCTGTTCACTCCCGGATCAGCTTCACACGCTAGGGCCAAGCAAACGGGCTGCTGCAGTGCCACGCATCTCCACTAGGGGTGGTCCTCGCACAGAGCCCACCTCTCAGTCCCCTCAGATGTCCAGATGATAGGAAATAAGGGCAAATATGATCCTTTTTAGTTTCCAGAAAGACTTGAGCTAACCAAATAATGACCAAAGGACCCCCATTTTCACTTCAAAGTGCTCTTGGCAGAGAGCCATGATGCACCCACTCTGAGAAATAATGATTTTTTTTTATTAACCATGAATTCATTTATATTATCAAGAAGAAAATAGGTTTCATTCTCAGCCACAGGAAGGCTGATTGGTGGATGCTCCTTCACTACCGCAATTATGAGAGAAAACTTAAGCTCAGTGAAGATGGCCTGACAGCTTTATCGAATCCTCCAGAAACTCAAATGGAGTTTGAACAGTGTGCGGGGGCACTAATTTACCCAAAGGGAAAACAGGAAATATTAACCCAATGCATGCTGCAGATAAAGCAAGACCCAGCAAACCAGTGAGCCCACCTCCATGTTCCTCGTGGGTTGGAGGCTGCCACGCTGCAGGCTCAACATGGTGTCGATGTGTGAACGACCAGTTTCCCATAGTGGGACAAAAAGATAAATGGGGCCAGAGGAGAAGCATGAGCAAAAGTTTACATACAACAGACTCTTCTTTTTCTTTTCCCTTCCACCCCTGCCAAAAGCAGCCCTCTACCTTTCTCCCAGAAACTCAGCACAAAACTTTGGGGTGTTCTCCTACTTCATCACACCAATATCGGATTACTCCCATAAACCAGCAGATCCCACATCTGAAAAGTTCTGTGCTCCATTCCTTCAGCCTTGTCCCTTCTCCTCACCTCACATATATAGGAATTCCATTATTGTCCCAAAGCAGAAATGGGATAAATGCTCATGTATCTCATTTCCTCTGCTTGGGCCCAGGAGAAGACTTCATTTCCCAGCCTCCTGTGCAGTTACATTGGAGCCACAGGATATGGGCTGTGAGCAGAAATTAAATATTGAATTTGCTGTCCTGGCCATAAAACTCCCTCCATAATTGCCCACACTGTCTCTTCATCTTATACAACAACTGTGGAAGCCACATATTAAAAATGGCAGCAGGACAAGATGGAGAAAGTATGGATCCTTCCAGAAGAGCCTCCCAAACTACATCAGATTGAGACTGAGTGAGAAAGAGAACTTTTTTAGGTTAAGTCACTGAGAGTTGAGGGCTCCTCATTGCAATCACATAGCATAGCATTTCCTGACCAATACAGATCTCTCCATCTTGCCTGGATAACCTTAGTCATTAACAAAGATTCCTTCTCAGCTGACTTTGGACATTAGCTGGTTAAACTAAGTAGGATTTCAAGAGTATATGAAACTCTATCCTAAAGCTAGACTTCACTAGATATTCCCCTGGCCTAATGGTAAGATGTGAACACTGAAGATTTTTATGTGAACATATTCCTGCTTCATTTTCCCAAGGATGGTCCACAATAACCACAGAATATAAATGTTTTATTTTATATTTAGTGGCATTTCAGCCATTGAACTGGACATGCTCAACTATCTACTTAAAAAAAAGTGTTAATACTATTGTGTTCTACATGACATACAAAGTTTGCATCACCTGATTTCACTGTAAGAATGATTGCTGCAACCTGTCCCTTTACGAATGTGCTTCCAAGACTGATGTCAAAATCAATCAGTCGCTATGGAAATTCAATCAGTCAGAACTGGGCACTCTGAACTGCTCACACACAGTCTTTGTCTACACTTATTTTCAGAACTCAATACCTTAGCTGTAGTATTAATTAATGACACGCTTTGTAAACAGCAAAAATCAATTGAAAAATTACCCATAATCTGTGGCTAACAATAAAATAATACTCAGCTCAAGAATGCCAAGAGCATTTGAAAAATCACAACAAGCCCAGAAACTTGGGTTCAGACACAAGGCCATGGGAGGGAGAGTCGATAGTAGTCAAAGTGGCCAAAGGTAAGGGTGAAGTGGATCAGGCAGACTTGCCTGGGACAGATGGAGACAGCAGAACAAGCGGTGTGCACAATGCCAGAAATAGAAAGTATGTGTTGTACCCCTCCCACTTCCATGATGGGACAGCAGATGAAGCAACAGATAAAGCAATAGACAATCAGAGGTTGGAAAGATGGAGACCCATGTCATGCAATGGCAAGACATTTGGAACCGTCCTCTGCCACTACTAGAGGAACAGACTGAGTCCCTACTTAAGGAAAGTGGTTGAGGAGAGGCAGGGTTTAACAAGGAGGAAAAGAAAGATATGAGCTCAGAAAAAACAATGGCTGGTTTGCAATCAAAAATGAAAGTGAGTAGAAAGGATCCAGAAATTAGGGCCCAACTGCTAGACCCCACACAGTAACAGATAAGACTGAAAACTGCTTTAAGCAACTAAGGTCTTTCAAGGCTTCTTAGTCAAGCAGCAAAGAGTAAATCAAGAATGATTGTTCAGTTTCCACCCAAGCCTATTGTCTTAAATGGTGTCAAGATAGCTTCCATTGAGCTAAGACAGAGAAATGAAGAAAAATAAGTGAATTAATAAGCCTGGCTTAATAATTATATTTCGGAAAAAACTTTGGGTGAAGTTATGGATACATTCAACTATTTACAATCCTGTTGAGTTTTTGACAAAACTGTATTACCAAAGAAACTATGATCCTAGCCTTTAAAAAAACTTATGATTATTAAATAACCCTCAAGCCCCTTCAACTTACACCAAGAAGAAATAAGCAAGATATGCCCATGAAAGATGAAAGGGAAGAATCTTCCAGTGCATGGAGACAGGGGCCATGGGAATAGTGGACAAGAAGTTCCTCCCAGAGAACAGAATCAGGGCTAATCAAGGAACTTCCCCCAGCTGTGCAGGGGTTTTCAGCATGGGCCAGTGACTGCTGTGTCTCCCATTCCTCATTTGGTGAAAGGAGGGTCCACTGCGCTTACACTCCTCTGCTCCACCACTTTCACTGGGTTGGTGTGGGGAGAGGGCAGGTTGCATGCCTTTTGGTTCATTGCTTACTGGGTCACAGTGAGCCATATCCAGACCTGATGGTTTAAATTCCTGGAATTTGAACTGAATGCATGAATTGGACATTGCGGGGGAGAAGTAAGGATGGTCCAGGTATACAAAAAGGGATGTGCAAAGACTTTGGGTATCCAGAAGACTGATTGTGGCAGTGACTGCTAGCTGTCCTCCAATGCATGCTGCCCCTGCCACGGTATGGAAATGTCACTGTGAGGCAGCTGTCATGCTAGGAGCTGCATTTCCCAGCTCCCCCCTTGCATTTGTGTGTGGCCACTCTTGCATTTAGATGTGTTCCCACACTTCCTAAAGGAATGTGTATGGAAGTGAGTGTTTTCATCTCCACTCTTCTTTTCTCCTTCAGCCAGCTGGAAGCAGAAGACTCCAAAGTCTTAGGCAATGGTGGAGCCTGGAGCTAAAACATATCTGGATCCCTGAACCGCCATTTGGAGGAACGTCATCTGCCAATCAGGAGCAACCAAAGTAGATTGTTCCACAGATTAGAAATAAACCTATTGAGTTAAGCCATTGAAATCTGAACAGTATGTATCAAAAGCTAGAGTTACTTTAACCAATACACTAACAGACTATTTGAAGCAATGTTCTCGAATTTCTGCGTTTATGGCATACTTTCAAATGTGAGAATTTTTGCCGGCACAATTGAAGGGACCACATTCCACACAAAAGATCACACTACTCACTTCAGCATTGTGTTACTGCCTGAGTGCATCAATTTACTTGTCTTTTACATATAAAGGAAGCAAAATTCCCGCATTTGTGGAGAGCATGTGATCTCCCTGTGGCATAGATGTGTAATGATGCTATCACTCTCGCAACACATTCTACCGCAGCTACACTGGGTCATGCGACCCATTCAGCTCATCATCCCATTCCTGTCCCCACCAGACTGGGTTGTCACAAAAGTTAATTTTACCCACTGCTCAATATTCTGGCTGCTCACATGTAAGGGTTCACAATTCCCTCTCTAGTATCCCCAGGGCACACTGGTGGAGAACTACTGGTTCAAAGGTTGGAAATACTAGAGTACAAAATACATTAGCCCCCATGAGTTTCTCCAAGTCCAGGGAGACAGGGTCTCAATGAATAATTTCAGCTAGGTTAATTCTAGCTTTCACTCACACAGAAAAGTATTTCTGCAAAGGTCAAACTTGACCTTATGGCTCAAGGTGAAGAGGGGCTGAAATTTCTATTTCTATTTCAGAATATTAGGCGCCCCTGGATTGAAGGAGGTGGAAATTCACGACGACGCTGACAGCTAAAATGAAACAGACAGCAGCCTGTGGTAGTGCAAGTATAAAATCAACAAACGTCAAAAGGTGAATTTAAAAAACACCAAATGCATCAATAACTAAATACATACATACTAGGAATCAAACCATACGTGGAACTCACAGTCCGCATTAACATGACTTCATCTTTCCAGGATATTCTTGCCCAGGAAGGTAAAAGTTGTTCAAAGCAACAACTTTCTGAAAGTGTCACAACTTTCAAATAGAAAGCATCAAATGGCAGTTTATACTCTAAGACCCTTGAAACCCTTCTCAAACTCTTCAAACACCTTGCTGTGGCTACCCATTTTAAACTATTAGATCATGATTCTTACCCAGTCCTAATGAAGCTTCCACATTGAAACGTCTACCTTAAATCAGGTTGCAAAGTGGCGGTAAATATTCCAACTTCGCTCTTCCCGCAATGAGACGTGTCCAAATTCTGTCAAGCTGGGGCTCGCTTATCATGAACTAAATGTTTATATCCCCTTCAAATGCATATGTTGAAGCCTAATCCTAAATGAGATAGTATTTGGAGGTGGGACCTTTGGGAGGTATTAGGTTGGTGCAAAAGTAATTGCCGTTTTTGCCACTTTCAATGGCAAAAACTGCAATTACTCTTGCACCAACCTAATAATGATGGAGCCCTCATGAATGGGATTAGTGTTTTGTGTTTTGGTTTTTTTGTTTGTTTGTTTGTTTTTTTGAGATGGAGTCTTGCTCTGTCGCCCAGGCTGGAGTGCAGTAGTGGCGTGATCTCGGCCCACTGCAACCTCCGCCTTCCAGGTTCAAGCGATTCTCCTGTCCCAGCCTCCCAAGTAGCTGGGATTACAGGCACGTGCCACCATACCCAGCTAATTTTTTGTATCTTCAGTGGAGATGGGGTTTCACCATATTGGCCAGGCTGGTCTTGAACTTCTGACCTCCTGATCCGCCCGCCTCAGCCTCCAAAGTGCTGGGATTACAGGCATGAGCCACCATGCCTGGCCAGTGCTCTTTTAAGAAGAAATAGGGGAGCACTTGCTTCCTCTCACTCTGCCCTCTGCCATGTGAGGACACAATGAGAAGAAGGCCATCTGCAAGCCCAGAAGAAGATGCTTAGCAGAAACTGGATCTGCTGAGCACCTTGATCTTGGACTTTGCAGCCTTCAGAATTGTGAGAAAAAAGTTTGCTGTTTAAGCCACCCGGTCTACAATATGTGTGTTATAGCAGCCTGAACTAAGACACACAGTAAGAATAAACTCAGCTTTGCACATCAACAGTTTGTTGTGGTGATATTGGGGGGAGCCAGCATTTGATAACCCATATGTACATATATTCTGGTCCTGTTTCCTTAATTAAATCACTGGGTATCCTAGGGACAGTATCTTAACCTCTCTGTTTACTCACACTAAATCTGAGATGCTAGATAAACACATCCCCCTTGCTATTTCAGACAAGTCTAAGCATGACATACTATGGCTTGAAGCAAAAAATTAATAATAATAACCCTTCAGTATCACAGACATCTTTATCAGTGAGACCAGTCACTAAATCCTTTGAGGATTCTTGTAAACATCACTACAAAACAGAAATATGCATTCACTCTGTCAACTAGGAAACAAAAACCACTTAAACAGAGAAAGAGTCAAAATTGGGAAGAGGTTTGGAGAACAGGGAATAAAAAATGAAGAGTTATGTTAAGATGAGAAATCTAAAATATTACCAGTAGAGTGAGAGAACCTTTTCAACAGTTTTATAAACTGAGCAATCATTTTTCTTCCCCATGGCCAGCATATTGAAGCTAATGGTAAAAGCATTAATTTATCATGAGATTTTTAAAGATCTCTCTTGTCAGTAATGAAATAAACACATGATGGGTAGCCAGACAGTTATTGTTTATAGGAAGGTTATTACAATAATTAAGATTAATAGCAATTACTTGTCATGTTTGTGGATTTCTTTTTCCTTGGGAAATAACTGTAGCCATATTAAATAACTAATTAACACATCTCCATGTCTGGCTAAGACTGCATGGATTCACAAGTTCTCCCATATTCTCTAGTACTCCATAGCCAAATAAATAAATCAGCACTGTAAAACAACCAGCTCACATTTTGAAAGGAAATTTCAAAATTAAACCAGTTACCAGATCAGTGATGAGGGCCTAACATAAATGGGGATCTAACATCAAGACTTTCTCCTATTCATGTTCTTTGGAATCTTGGTAAACCCACTGATGGCTGACAAAACGTAGATCCCAGATCTCATTGCCTGTTTGCGTGTTTCTGTGTACGTACATAAATAAATATATATCTTGAGTGTTATATATCTTATATAATAACCTGGATAATTTTATCTTCACACAAAATGAGATTTTTTACTCTTCAGTCACAGAACTATAAGAGAAATCTTAACGCCTCAAGTATTAAAGCCTTAAAGCTATTTTTATTGAACGTTTTTCAGAGCAGCATGAAAATGGATAGGAAAGAAATGTTTCCTCATATTAGAATTCTATTTTTTTTTAAAGGGGGCCTTACCACTTACACAGCTTAATATTGAGGGAGGAAACGGAGGTCAAGGAAATCACTTATCCTCTCCCAAAGAACGCAGTGGGCCCCTTCCAGGAAACACTTGAGGCCCTGTGTGGTGTCTTCACGAGGTAGGTAGAGAAGCAGGCAGGGCCTGACTGTTGCTGAACAAAAGCAGATCATGTTTGCAAATGAAGAAAGACTTGGTGGAATAGGGAGAGGAAGCACCTGTTCACTCCCAGATAACCCCTTCCTAAAACCGCAGGCCCACAGCTAAATCAGCACCGCGGGCAGGAAAGCGGCCATTGGCCAAGGCTGGAGACAAACTGGATAGTGCGGACCCCTGTGGTCCAGGGCAGGCTCTGCCCCTCCTCACCTGGCCCTAACATACCTACTTGCCCTAACATACCTCCTTTCTATTCTCCATCCCCCGCCCCCCCACACACACACAGACAGAGAGAGAGAGAGAAAGAGAGAAAGAGACAGCCATCCCCTGCAAAAGTACGTAGACTTCCACTTCTCCCTGAACCCTCATTTTCAAACTAGTCAATTATATTCATTCCACAATAGAAGTATGTTTATGTAGACAGGAGGAGGCGAGGAAGGAAAGATGGAAAGAAAATAAAGGGTATTTACTGAGCCTGCTTCAAACGAGGCTCAGGGCTTGGGCTCCAGGCTCAGACGAAGATGTTAAAGACACAGCCCCTGACCATCAAGATGCCAACATGGAGTGGATGGATAGATGCTGTAAGAGAACTGCCTTCTCAGCAAGACAACACCTAGCACTTTGCAAGTTCTGCTCCAAGAAAGACTCTTGAGAGGGGGCTCGTGTGAAGGGGCAGACCATCCGCCAACTTTGCCTTCCTCAAGGGTCCCTCACTCTGGCCACATCACCCTTGAGCCCCCAAAGCTGCTGGTGTCACCAGGATAGGCAAACACTCTCTCCTTGGCTTCTCCAAGCCCAGCTGAAACAGGCTGGAATTTGCAAAACAACTCCGCTATACGCTGGAACAAAGGGAAGTAAATATGGAGGGAGAGAATGGGAACCTAAGACGGAAAAGCTCACACACCCCAGCAATCAGACCCCCTGGTAACTCACTCCCAGGTCACCTCTGAGCCACTCCCACTCTCTAACCTCAACCCAGTGCACCTCAATACACAGCCTTGACTGGGCTTCTGCTCCCGGTTCCTGGCCTGCCTTCTCCTGGCCTGAACCATCTTGCTTCCCAACCTCTTCATGCTCTTGATTCTTTCAACCCCAAGGCCAGAGCAACCCTCAGTCTGTGAGCTACTTAAGGATCCCATGTGCTTTGAGCATTTCACCACACAGAATCATGATGGGCAAGAGGTATGATTTCCACTTAGGATAAAGCCCACCCATTACGTACAGGGGATGGCCTGGTTCCCGAAGGGCCACACTGTCCTAGAGCCTTAACCAGCACCCACCCTGGAGAAACAGACAGGCAAGGAAGCAGGGTTCATTTCCAGCTTCATACGCCCAACACGGCAAAATGAAACAAGTGAATGGCCCTGGAGCTCAGAGAAAGGAGAACCTTCTGGGAGGAGCCAACATTTGAGCCTGCTTTAGGCCCAAGAAGGATTTCTATAGGCAGAGATAAATGGGAAGGGTGGCAAATAAGAGAGAGAGAAAGAAGTATGAACAGAGGAATGGTGATAGAAAGGTCAGAGGTGTTAACAAGTTTAAGGGTCCAGAAGGAAAAAGAAATTCCAGCATGCTGCATAGAACACAGAAAGAGTGAAGATGGAACACCTTCTAAAACCAGGGTGAGTTTGTCATGGAATTAAGTACTGAGGCCTCCAGGGTGGCTCACGGGTATGGACCGACACGCCTGCCGTGAGGCTCCTCAAGGAGGCGGGGGAGGTTCATGTGCAGTTGGGTACTGAGAACAGGTGCTCAGAGGAGAGTATGAGCATGAGATGAGGAGCTGCATGTCAGCAACACAGGGTGGCAGCTGTGACTGGGAGAACTGGTGAGGTCATCAGGCAGAGTGTGCAGAGGGAGATGGGTATTAAGCAGAGGACAGAACCCTGGAGAACCCTCATTTACAAGAAGCAGGCTGAGCAGGTGATGAAGGACTGGGAGAATGAACAGTGGAAGTAGGAGGAAAGCCAGAAGGCTGAGGAGCTCAGAGAGATGGAAGGAGAAAACTCAACAAGAAGTTCCACTTGGATGCAACTGGTTCCAGTGCCTCCCCCAATCTATCCGCCAATCTGACATTGCATTAATCCTCTGAAAGTGCTGTGTGACCATGACATCAATCTACTGTGAATGCCTCAAAAGACAACCCACCTAGACTCTCCACTTTAGACTCTAGCATTAAGGTTCCCCATGAACTGAGTCTTGCAAAACTCTCCCCCTCCATCCTGTCACTGCTCCCACACAGACTGCTCTAGTGAAATCATACTATCCTTTTTCCTCGACATTCCCCTTACTTTCTTGCTGCCGTTCTTTTGTTCATGCTGTTCCATCTTCTGCAATGCCTTTCCTGCCTGACAGTCTTGCCTACGAGAGAAGTCAGCAAGCATGCTCCCTTAGGTTTGTCTTATGACTCCATCAATACTTAAGTCACCCAGAAGCCAACAGGCAAGTACACTATATCATGATGGGGACAGGCATGGCCAGATGGACCAGCCTTTTCTCTGATCACCTTGGTTAGATATTGGCCAGTTGATGGCCAGTCGCTAGGACATGAGCTAACACAGCCAGCTGGACACATAGAGATGTGAGCAGATGAGCTCATGCCCTACAACCATGGTAATCTATGTGTTTGTTGCAGCCCCAGAACAATGGTTCCCCAGCAGCTTTAAAAAATCCTGTTGGCTGCTCTCTGGGTCTTCGTTGTCTCTTTGGGTGGAAGAAGCCTATTTGGCATCTGCAGGAGCTGGCTCAGGGCTGCTTGGGCTATTGCCTGGAGAAATCAGAGCCCTCCTGCAGAATGCTTGGAGATCTCCCAAGGTGAGGCCCAGCATCCGAATTAATAAAAAGCAAGTATGACTGCATTGCTCTGGACTCTGTCACAGCCTGGGAATCCTTATCAAACAAACACCAGCGTGGGAGGAGAGGTCACTGTGGATATCCCAGTGCTAACATTCAAACGTTAATAACTTTACCGCGTAGATTAATTTTAAATGTCAGGCCATTTTGCTGTGTAAAGCTAAGGAGCTCGGGAAATAACGCACATTTTCAGACTTCCTGACAACACCAGCACATCTCGTATCTGGTTGCTCGTGGAGTGGGCAGGATCAGAGGAAAGGAGGGCGTTTCTTTAACAGTTGCTACTCCTGCAATGCAAACACGAGGAATAAACGGCGTCGGAACACGTCGACTGCCTGGTTTCTCAACCGGGAAAATGGCCGAACTGACAGTAATGAGATTTCACACGGAACCACAAGGCAGTGCAAGGTCTGAGACCTTGCCCAGAATATCAGGTTCCAAGCCCAAACAAATGCATGTAACCTGGTTAAGAACCCCTGGAAAATGGCATTTGTAATGGAAACACTGGTAACGCACAGCTGCTGATCCCGCCCGGGTTCAGGAGGCAGAGCTGGGTCGGGGCTGCTGGGGGATGTTCAGCACAAGGAGGGGGAAGAAAAAAAGGGGGCAGCCCTAGCCCAGGAAAAGGCTTGAAAGGAAAATGGATGCAAAGCAGAGACTGCAGAGGAACAGGGAGGAAGGAACAGATGCTACACACAAAACCCACCCAGGGCTGCCAGGATTGCAATTAAAAATTCACATATTTTGGACTGAAATTCTCATATTTTAAGAGAACTTGGGCAAAACCCTCCTTCCACCAATATTAGCAATGCAAAACCGGCAGTCAAGACAGACCCAAATTATCATCCATTTTGCAAAAAGGATGAAAATTGTATAGCTGGGAGTCCAAAATCCTTCCATGAAAACAATCATTAGAGCGCACCTGGCAGCCCTTGGCCCCACCCCCTGGTCTCCAGGGACCCAGGACAAAGCCTGCTCCCCACAGGGCACTGGGACCCAGATCTGGGACAGTCGAGGTGGCCACCAGTCACCAGGCGTTCTCAGGATTCTCTTTCAGTTTGAGAGGCCACCCTTATTTGGATAAACATGCGTACCGAATTCAAGAGGCACTAATACCACGGTGCGATGAAGTGAAAAGGCAAACACGCGGAGTGCCAGATCTCCCAACACAAACATGGTCCCAAGCCTGGCGCACCTGGATTGGGCTTGGGATTTTTAAGCCAACAAATGGGGTGGGAGACAGGGAAAGAGAGGGCCGGGAAGAAAAACCACAGGCTCCCAGAATCCAAAGGAAAGTGGCATCCTCACCCGATGAGCAGGGTCTGGCACAGGGCTGAGCACATGACAGCCAGTAAGTCTCTGCTGAAGGATGCCTGAAATCTGCGCGGTTCTACCACCGAAACTAATCCCGACTATGTCTCCCGCCTCCTCCCTACAGTCATTCTCCCTACTCCAGCCTTCTTCCTCCGTGCCTCCAGAGTGATCTTCCATAAATACCCATCTCATTATGTCACTGCCATGCTTAAAAGCCTCAAGTGGCCACCATTACAAACAGAATTAACTTCCAGCTCCGGCCAGGCTCTCTGGGGACTGGTTGGAGGTGGCAGCCCCCACAGGGCAGGCTAGCACAGAAAAGGTAGGGAAGCACGATGCCCAATGAGGGGGAAACAGTCTTATCAAATAATAAAAATACATTTACACACATAAATATTGTAGTTAGTAAAGGAATATGAATGCAAGTGTAATATGAATATAAATGGATTCTGAATTCCAGGTGGCCCATGGTAAGGCCCAGCTGGAGTCCTTTAATCACAGGATTCAAGAGGGGATGGGCCTTAGCAATACTCATATACCTGACGCAAAGACCAGGGGCTGCTGTGATGGCGTCGGGATTGCCAGCAAGTGCCTCTCTCTCTCACCAGATTGTCAGGGCTTCCAAGGAGTAGCTGAGCCCTAAGGCGAGTGGAGGCTTCTGTGTGTTGGCTCTGAGCTCATACATCTTAAGTTCAAACTCAGCCTACCCCTTCCCATTTGTAAGAACTCGGGCAAGTCACATAATCTCTCTGAGCCTCAGTTTCCTCACCTGCAAAATGGGATCATAATAGCACCTACTTCATAGGTTTGTTGGCAGATATCAAGGAGATAATCTACATAATGTTTTTAGTTCACTGCTACAAGACTCAATGTTCTTTATTGTTTTTAGAAATGCCCCTCAGCTATACGGGAGGCTAAGATTAGAGGATCACCTAAGTCTGGGAGATCAAGGTGGCAGTGAGCCATGATCACACCACCACCACACTCCAGCCTGGGGGACAGAGTGGAGACCCTTTCTTGAAAAAAAAAGCGGGGGGGAGAAAGAAAGAAAGAAAGAAAGAAAGGAAGTCAGAGATAAAGAAAAAGGAAGGAAGGAAGGAGGGAGGGAGGGAAGAAGGGAAGGAAGGAAGGAAGGAGGGAGGGAGGGAGGGAAGAAGGGAAGGAAGGAAGGAAGGAAGGAAGGAAGGAAGGAAGGAAGGAAGGAAGGAAGGTAGGAAGGAAGGAGAAAAGATAAATAGGAGACCAAGATCAAAAAGAGGAAAATCTCACCCAAGGTCACCTGGTCAACCGGTGACACAGCTAGGGCCACAACTCAGCTCCAGATTCCCCACACCAGATTCCTTCCCTTTGCTGCAAAGCCAGAGGCAGAAACATTACATCAGGAGCCAGAAGAAAATAAACCTAAATGGGCCATTAGGACCAGTCACTTCCCTCTACATTGAGCCTTTGGGGGATGTTATGGGTGATCAATATAATAAATAATGTTGCAGAGTCTGAGGCACCTCTCAAGGGAGCATCTTGGAAGCCAAGAAAAGAAAGAGATTGAGATCATAACAAGAGATTCAGCTGAAAACCACAATCTCTGAGCATTGGTGAGTTTCTCCCTTGCCTCACTTACCTTACTCTATGCCAGACACAAGGGGACAGAGGAAGGTGCCAAAACAGAGGGCAGGTAACCTAGGGGCTTCAGGTTTTGTTATTCAAAGTTTTTGTTATCCCAGGTACACCTACCAGTCATGCTGCAATGCACAGGCATGGCTCACAGGTAATAGGGGCAGGCTTTGGGAATCTCTGCCCTTTCTTCTCTCTAGGAGGAAACTTAAATGCCTGAAAAAAAAATTCACAAAGCCCAGGTGCACCCTCAGTAGCAGCTCCCAACCCTGGGGTACTCACCAGCTCCCCAACATTCAGAACCTGTCCTGAATAAATGTTTCTCTGGTTCCCTAGAATAACTCTGGGTTCAAAGGGCATAGTTTAAACTTACAGAACCAGTTCGGAGAGACAAAGAAGTGTCCTCTGGGAATCCCTAGAAAATCAAGGAACTGGCCAATGTACCAAAATCAGAAGTCCCCATTCCTTTCCTGGATTCCAGTGCAAGTTATGGCCATGACCTCAGGGTGCATAATAACAAAGGTTCTGAGACACTGAGGTCACAGACCCACAGACGAGTCAGGAGTTACTGGAAGGGAAATGGTTGAACCAGACACGTTTGAGTGTTTCACGCTAATGTACATATTCATGGTGTACACAAGAATTGCTCTGAGGGCCATGTCTGGTGAAGGATGAATATATTGTAAGCTTGGACTTCAATCAGCAGCTTACTTATGTGCAGGTGTTCATCCTGTGAACACAGAGCTTTGCCATATCACACCAACCAGCAGAGAAGTCCAGTACCAAAGAGGACAGATCACGGCTATGTGCGGAGAGGACTCCAGGGATGCCAAGCTTCTTGGCAATATAATGACAAAGATTTGGTACCAAAAAGACCTCTGAGCAAGCATAGATTCAGGGACAGAGAATTTTCCCTGGGTCAAAATGCTAAAATCCAGAGCTGAGCGGATGACGACTGCACAAGAGAAATCATGAATCTTAACTGAACCAGCAGAGATTTTTATTTAAGTGAGAAGGAATTAGAAATGAGTAGCAAGGACTGGGCATGGTGGCTCACGCCTGTAATCCCAGCACTTTGGGAGGCCGAGGTAGGTGGATCATTTGAGGTCAGGTGTTAAGAGACCAGCTGGACAAACATGGTGAAACCCCGTCTCTACTAAAAATACAAAAATTAGCCAGGCATGCTGGCATGTACCTGTAGTCCCAGCTACTTAGGAGGCTGAGGCAGAAGAATCTCTTGAACCCAGGAGGCAGAGGTAGCAGTGAGCCGAGATCATGCCACTGCACTCTAGCCTGGGCTACAGTGTGAGACTCTGTCTCAAGAAAAAAAAAAAAAAGAAGAAGAAGAAATGAGTAGCAGGACCTAGTACATTATCATTTGCTATATTAATCATGCTAATATTTCCTGTTTGGTAATCACTTATAGTTCTTTCTCACTGCACACTTCTCAACTAATCTCTACCAATACCTTCATTGAAAGCATTCCTCCACATACTGCTATTGACAAACCTGTGGCTTGGGTGAGCCCTGATACCACTTCAGGATACTGTCTCCAGGCAGGGCAAAGCCCATACACAGCCTCCGTAGAGAAGCCACTTTAGCATGGTGGCTGCTGTCTGAGAGCTCTCCATTACCCACTCACCAGGTGCCTGCTCACACATCCGTGAGCACTCGACAGTGATGATAACCAAAGATGCCGCCTGGGAGAAACCCTCCCCACATCTTATCTCAGGCCTCCTACCCCTCTACAGAGCACCTAATGCACCATGAACTAGATTCCCTGCAATTTCCATCCCATACCTGTCGGAGGAAACATGCCAGCATCCCAGGAAGCAGAGCAAGCCAGGGAGCTGGGAACAAGAGGCAGAACTTAAAGCATTGGGTTTCTTTTGTTATTCTCCAGAATATAAAAAGCTTCATCCCTCTGAAATACCATCTTCCAAAAGCATCAGCAAGAAAGCTCTAGGGTGGTTTGGTTTGTGACTGAGACTGTGTGTGCCTGTGTGTGGCGGTGTTCAGCGCCTGCTTTGTGCCATTCTTCTGTGACTGTGGGGCCTGCCAGAGGGTGCACCTGCCCCTGCTCCTCTGCTTCTCGTCATTGGGTTGGAGCCTTTGCCTCTGAGCCTGTGTTCTGAGCCTAGAGCTGTCCAAGACTGACTGTATCTGTGACCCATCCTGTGATTTCCCAGGTCCACAGCTATGTCTGTGCATAATTACTGCCTGTTCCTGGAATGGTGATTGTTTGATTATACTTGTGGTTGTTTCTATTTTCACTGTCCTGGTGAATGTTTCCTGCCATGGTAATTATACCTGTCTATGGGAGTGACAGTCAGAATATTTAACAACTGATCCAGCACTAACCAATCCAAACAGATGGCCGCTGTGAACTGGTGTGGATACACTGGGGCATTTCCACTGGTTCAGACACAGTTTATTAAAGCAATCTCAATTCAGTGATATATGATCTTGAAAGTGACTTATTTTTTCCCAATCCCTGATTTCAACCATGCACCATCAAAACCCTTCCCTGTCACTTAGTGAGCAGAACCCATTGCTCTCTGGTCACTCTCAGTGATGGCAAGTCTGGCACAGCCCACAGGCCCACATCTGATTTAATCCCCCCACCCCACCAGATGGGCTGGTGGCTGCTGGAGCTCAGAGGAGAGGGTGTGGGGTCTCTGTCTCACTCATCCTCCCACTCTGTCTTCTGGGAGCAGAAGTTAAGGAGGTGGCAGGTGTCCTCCTCCATGATTGATCACCTGTGGTGCTGGGGAGGCATCCCTGGTTTTGCCTGCCTCCCTCTGGTTTCACTGGCCAGTGGTTGTGGCTGCTATGTGTCGATGGGTAGGTGGTGCTATGTCCAGAGTCCCCACAGATCCCCCCATTGCTAAAGACAGCTCCCTTTGTCCCATCAGCGGTCTACACCCCAACTCCCCTCAGAGGACATCACTGAGCCACTGCAGCGGCCACCTCGGCAACCCCATGGCCCCTGCATCCTTCCCTGGGAGCCATGCAAGCCATTGACACCCCCTTTTTTAACCAGTCCTCAGAAGACCTAATGGGAACAGCCCTCTGCTCTCATCCTCCTCCTCCAGAGCATTCACCAGGTCCTTCCCAGAACCGCTCTGAATTTAGAGATCTCCAGGGGAGAAGCAGGAACTGCCCTATGGTCAGATAGGCCCTGAAACTCCAAGGTCGTGGGTTAAGTTCGCCCAATATCTCTCTTGCTGCCCTCTGCAATCTTGAGCACTGAGGACCAAGATGTCAGCACCAGCCCCCCACAAGCAACCCTCTGGAGAACCTCCGTGCTCGGCTTTCAAGAGGGAGTGGGCAGCAGAAGAGAAGCCTCTTGCCACTAACCAGGCACTCCTGTCAACTTGAACAAGAGCCCCTCTCCCCTACTCATCTCTTTAATGGAAAGGGAAGCTGGCGGCGAGGACGGGTGGGGTGGCTGATTGTCAGGGTCAGGGTTTGGTCTTCCTTAAGGGACAGGCCCAATCCCCATTGTTGGCAAACTCCATCTTTAGAATGTGGAGTCAACAACCTCAGCTGTGGATCCTGTTCCCTGTGACCCTGTCTTTGTCTGCTCCCCTGCCTATACTGAAGGAAGTGCATGTGTAATGGCAAAGGATAGAAGGATTGTAACTGGGAGCCCAGCCTGGCTCGTGACTGTAGTAGCGATGGGCAGGAGAGAGCAGAGACGAAAAGCAGAAGGGTTGGACTTAACCCTGGAAATGATGGGGAGTCATTCAAGAGATGAGGCAAAGGAAGGATGCCTCTGAAGAGATGCCTCGAAGAGTTCCCCAGAGGTTGATGGAAGCAGGGAGACCACGCCAGAAATGATGCTGGTCTAACCAGTGCAAGGGCAGGGAAGTCTGAGGGGGAAATGGGAGCCAAGATCCCAACACAGAGCCACACCCCCTGCCGTGGACCCTCGGGGCCAGTCTCATTGCCTTCTAACTCCACACTTCTGCCCCTGCAGCTCCTTCATCTATAACATATTCCCTTCTTTTCTGCATTTGTTTAAAGCTTCCCTATTTTGCAAGGCTGACTTCAGGAGCAATCCTTTCTGACTCCTGTTTCCACCCTGCCTGCCTATTCTCTGAACCTGGACCCTTAAACTATAAAATCTAGACCCCAAAGATGCCCTAGTTGCACCACCCAACCTAGGATTCTTGACTATTCTGTGTGTGCACTTAGATGTGTAGATGTGTATGTATATATAAATGCACGTTTACTGGGTGACACTCTCCTGAGCTCTGCATGGGCAAGGGTCCTCTCACTGTCCCCTTAGTACCCGGCTTGTGACACCCTGAAGGCACTCTGTCAATACTTGTCAATATGTAGGATCTGTCTTGACCCTGGGAATTTCAGGACTTTTGGCAGGGACAGCTCCTGTGGACACAGTTGGAGACAGCGATAAGCTGTAGGTCACACAGCGCCTCAGAACCCCAGCCAAGATGGGGGTAAATGCAGCCTCTGACCCGCCAGCAGAGGAGGCAGTTTTCCCATTTCTCTTGCTTGCCTTTAACTGCACAGACCAAAGGGAAAGCTTTAGAAAATTCAGTTCAGTGATACATTTTCTCGCTTTCATTGCTCTCCCTTTTTTGTTTTAAGAACAGGTAGGCTAGCTCTTCCCTTTCTTTAGTTTACAAAGACTTTATTCCAAAATGAATTATAAATAATTAAAACCACTCCATTTGTTCTATATTGTTGTTAATTGAAAAAATTAAAGATGCATGTGCTGTAACCTCCAGGGTGGCCGTGAGAGAAGCCAGTGGGTGGCTTTGGGGCGGGAAAGACGTGTGCCAGCACCTCCCAGGCTCCTGCCAGCTCTGCCTCTGAGCAGAGCACCTGGCTGACTGACCGCTGGAAGCACTTTCCTTGCCTGTCTTCACGTCCCACTTCAGCACACTGAAATACAACATCATTTATTTCCTAAATGCACATTTCCCTCTTACTCAAATAGAAGGCAAGAGGTGAAAGAGGTGTATTCATCACCTAAGAAATGGGGAAAGCTGTTCTCGTTCTTTTCCAGTGACCTCTCAGAGTGATCCAGGATCCTACATGCCAGAGTGACCTGCTGGGAATGGGATGTGACATAGTCTAAGTGCCCCCTATAAATTTTGAAGTCTGATGGCCAGACTAATCACCCTGCCCAGCCCTTATTCTCCGCTGCTGACGGATACAGGCCTGGAGCTGAACAAAGTGAGGTCAACGTCTCTTTCTTCTAATCTGCGCCCAGTGTGTGCTCGCCCAACTCGATGGGGTGGCATCCCCATCCTTGTTCTCTAACGTGCTCTCCATCACTGTCTCCTTAGCTCTCCAGGCTGCCCACTGCCTGCTCAGCATACAATTGGTGCTCAACAAGTGTTTGTTGAAGGAATGAGCTATGTCCACAGGCAGGGTTAACACCGTGAAGTCAGAAGCAGATGTCAGCCCTGTATTAGGCAGGGTACCGTAACTATTGTAACAAACAACCCCAAATCCCGGTGGCTTAACACAACAAACATTTAGTTCTCAGCTATCCTTGTGCAATGATCCATTGTCTCCTGAGTGGCCCCCCTCAAACAGCATCTCAGACCCCCAGCATCCTTCCTTCCTGCCACCTACCTTGGAAGGTGAAGTCCTTGGGGTCGTCTCCATTCGGATGGCTGGTGAGTGAGGAGAGGGAAGGGAGGACCTGCACGCTCTGCCGTCACCCCCACCCTCCCCTCCTGGTGAGAATCCTCTCTCCAAGACCCCAGGGACACTTTCCTCCAGCCCTTCCCCGATCTGTCTAGCATGGGTCCGTGCAATGCCTAGTCTTCCAGAGTCCCCAAAAACAATCTCCCCTTGTTTCAAGCCTGGTCTTGGGGGGCTTCTCCAGCATGCTCCATCTCAACAAGCTTCTCTTGACACGAGGTGAGCTGTCAGGGCTGAGGAGACACCCCAGGCTCTGAGGAGAGAACACGGCTGGGCTCAGGATCCCGCCTAGCTCAGATTCCTGCCCTCTTGCCCTGTGTCCATTTACTTTGTGAGCAGAAAGACCTTTCCCCAGGTACCCCACCACAGGGGCCATGCTCAAGTATCCGTGCAAAAGGGAGCGTTCCCTTCCCCACCAGGCACATCACAGGTGGGGCCGGTGAACATGCTGGTTCCCCGGGATGATTGCCCCATTTGAGTTTTGTTTCTCTGTTCACTTGAGGCGGTCCTGTGAGGCAAGGAGTCGAGAAATCGCATCCAGGCACCCCGGGAGAGCCCCATTCTAATTAGTTGCTCTTCTCCTCGGTCTGTCAGCAGGGCTTGCTCAAGGTTGTGCCTTGCTGTGAGTTCTGCTTGATGCATTTCGCTCTGCCACCTTTAATGTCCTCCTGATCCAATTTCCTTTGCAATAAATAAATAAATAAATAAAATGTTTGCGTTGAATACAAACCCACTCACTGCAGGAGGCCTGGGTGGCACCTCAACTATGAAAGATCTGTTTTCTTCGTTAAAGCCGTCGGTCCTTATTCCTCACACTTTCTTCTTTCCCACAGCCTGGCTCGATCCCATGGAAATAAAACCCCAGCCTCCTCTCAGGGTGGTCACTCCCAGGAGTTCAGCCGCACATAAGCCTCAGAGGTGGAAGATTGCGCAGGCATCGTGAATGTTAGAACCAGCCCAGGACCTGAGGAAGGCAGGCAGCCAGAGACCTCAGGGGCAGGAACGGTGCTCCTGGCAACCTCTCCCTGGAGTCCGGTTTTCTGGGTGTCTCAGCAGCCCCAGAAGAAACCTTTGAGAGACCCCACAGTGAGCACAGTGCTGTGTAACAGGAGCCGGGAAGCAGGTCCCAGCGACCACTGGCTTTCATCAGGCCATGTGCCATTGGCTCCCTGCCCTTGCTTTTGATGAAAGTCTAGGTGGCCTCATGATGTGCTGTGAGTAATGTCCCACACCAACATCGCCTCCTGGACCTCCCAT
Organism: Homo sapiens; assembly: GCF_000001405.40. Lineage (NCBI taxonomy): Eukaryota > Metazoa > Chordata > Mammalia > Primates > Hominidae > Homo > Homo sapiens. The sequence continues at coordinate 23,332,899 of NC_000002.12, forward strand.
ACTGATCCCAGAAGGGCCCAGCTGCATCTCCAAGTCCTCTCCTTGCCTCTCAGATGGGCAGCACCAACACCTGTGGCTGGGCTGACTTGCAGATGGATCCCCAGCTTTCCAGGAGAGCTCTGGGCATGTCTCCCACCTCTCAGGGGACTGAGTCCTGCTTTTGTGCCTTTCAAAGGCCATGAGGGAGAGAAGAGGCAGCTTGCGGAATAATTACTGTCCCGTTCACTACAGGCCCACCAGGCTTGGCAAATCAATGCTGAATCTGAACTATTTGCAAAGTTGCTTTAATTCAGCTACTTATGTGGCAAGTGTTTTCTCATAGGTTTGAATCAATCACCCACTGATGAGTATGTATGGTGCACCCGGCCCTCCTAAGGATAATGAGGTAGAGATAGAGATGAAGTTGTTGCCTTTCCCTTCAAGAGCCTAGTCTTACTGAGTGGACCAGACACACCTGAAACACAAGATGAACTAAGAGCAATTTAAGGCCAAATGAGAAGTTTAAAGGAGACAGAAAGTAAAATTATAACAAGAGCTACTATTCCCAAACGCACGCCCACTCTGTGCTTCAAAAATCGTTGATCGTCACAATGACTTTCTGAAATAAGTATTATTATCAGCCCCATTTCGCAACAAGAAAACTCATGCTTAGAGAGGTTAAGTGATTTTCCTGAGGTCACACAGCCATTAAATGAGAGTTGAAATTTAAACTCCACTCGATTGATTCTGAAGCCTGTGTTCCCACCCACTGTGCAATCCCAGAGGGTGCATACCAGGGGAGAGGAGACTCACAGGCAGATTTTAGCACGACATAAAGAAGACATTTCTAATGGCTCAGGTTTCCCAACAATGGAATAGTCTGTGTGTTGAGTAAATGAGAGGTTAAGAGGCTGGAAGGTCTCTGGCAACTGAAAGAAGATCCCAAACCTGAAAGGAGGTTTAACGAATCCATTCCAGAGGAAAGGTGCTATAATTATTAGGGAAGTGGGATTCGAAAGGACATACTTTGATTAATTAGAAAGGTCAGGAAGGTGGCAAATGTGTTGGCAAAGATGCAGAGGTAGGGATCACAGGTGTGTCTGGGGGTAGTAAGTAAAGCTGATTGGCTGAGGTGAGGACTTTCGGTTGCCCAAATCTCCCCTTGCAATGGGCAAGGCCTAGTGAGGTGCAGGGGTTGGGTTAAGAAAACTGATTACTTGAAGAAGCTGGGAAGATTTAAAGGGGAGAGAGAGGTGGGGAGAAAAGAGGGCCAGATCTCGAAAGAGCCACAGTTCAAAAGTAAAGAACTCAATTTCTACCTTCAAGACCAAGAGGCCACCAACTGCATCCAGAAACAAGAGGTCAAGTCAGCATAGGATCAGAAACTAGGAAGCAAGAACCAGGCGGGGGGTCATCGGAAGTGCTTCTGGCTGCAATGTCAGTGTCAAGGGTGTCCTTTCTGCAGCCGCGTGGTTTAAAGGTGCTCAGGGGGTGAGGGCAAACAGTGTTGAGAATAATGGGCTCACTTCTACGCAGTGGGGCTGGCCTCACAGCTACAGGGGACAGACTGACCCCAGATGTGCCCCCCACCCACAGCACAGCAAACCCCTGAAGGATGAATAGAGACTCCCACCCTGGGACCAGGATGCCCGGCACAGTCTGGGGCTCGGTGACATGGCTCCTGTCCCAGAACATCCATCCGGGCAGAGACAACAAAATTGCAGGCTCGAATCTGCTCTTTGCCATTTTCTAGAAAATGGCTTCACTTATAAAAAGAAGGAAGGGAAGGAATATGGGCCAATTCTGAGGGCTAATTGTCTTTGCTCTCAACAAGAGCCCATGCTTTTTCCGGCAAACATTCCCTCCTGTCACTGTGCTGCCAGACCCACTCTTCGTTTCTAATCAGCCCTGAAAATAGCCCTTGATAGAGATAATAGGAAGAACAAAGAGAAATTTAGAGGAAGGAAAGAAAAGTCATGCCTAACTGGCAGCACAGACGTTGTTTTCAGAAAGAACCCTTCAGTTAGTTCCTGATTTGTCTTCAAACAGCAAGGTGTTAAATAAATCCCAGGGAGTGGACTTGGACCGAGACCAAGGATTCTGTGGCTTTTTTAGGTCATAGACTCCTTTGAGAAGCTAGAAAAGTCACAGACCTTCTCTCATACTGGGAAAATGCACATAAACAAGTATTCTGAATATTAATTCAGTGTTTCACGAACTCCTCAACAAGCGCAACCACAGATTCTGGTTAAAAATCCATGAAGCCATCTCTCTTTTAAAGGCTTTCCCTCTTCTCTCTCTCTCTTTCTGTGTGTGTGTGTGTGTGTGTGTGTGTGTGTGTGTGTGTGTACGTACAAGGGAAAGGCTGAGCTATACTTCTTCAGGCATGATCTGATAGGCACAGAAGCCTTGGAAGTCTTTCTGAAAATAGGCGAGTGTGGAAGTCCAAAGAGGAGACTAGAATTCCATTTCACATGAGCCAAACTCAGCAAAGACAGACACTGAGGGATCAATACCTGGCCCCAGTACTATGAGAAGAGCCTGAAGGCCTGAGTCTGTCACCTACAGGCCTCAACAAGAACAAGAGTACCCCCTAAAAGGGTAGTAATGGCCATGAGCTACGGAGTGGTTGTGGGAGCCCTGAACCTCATGCCTGGGAAAAGGGCCTATGCCAGGGTTTGGAAAATTCCATGTGTATCCAAATCACCTGAGATCTTGTGAAAATGCAGATTCCGATTCAGTAGGCCTGGGTTGGGGGCTAAGATCCTGCATTTCTAACCAGCTCCCTGGTGATGCTGATACTGCTTTGGGTAGCAAGAGTCTCTGCAATTATCTGCTCCTGGCTGAAGCCCCAGCAGAGACCTTGAACCTCTGCCCTAGCGGGACTCTGGACAATGGAGCACTGTCAGGATGCCCTAGGGTATCAATGTTTCCTGAATTGAGTGTGATGCCACTAAAGTCTCTAAGACAAGCATGCCCACCTAACCAGGGGCTGGGACTGGGACTTTCTCTGGTATCAGGCAGGGGTGGCAACTGATGAGATGGTGCCTCTTTCATCTCTGAATCCCCACAGCCCAAACAGCCTAGGGCCATGTACACAGTAAGCATCCTTCAAGTGAGGGAGTGACTGAACCAGAGCCATCAGTTCTCCGGGGAAGCAGAGGGAAGACAGTGGCATGCACCAAGAGCCTGGGGGAAGATCAGTGCCAATCAGGCCATGATCTGTGACCGTCAGACAAACCCAGGGCAAAGGCAGGAGATCTGGCCTCTGAACGAGTTAGCCTGGCCTGCCTGCTCTCTCACACAAGCTCACTCCTGGAGATGAGGAGGAAAAATGAAAATTGGATTTTCCCCATGGCCAGCAAAGTGGCCCCTCTTCCACCTTTTTTGTCCAAAAACACTGTTAAGAACAAACTGAAGGTTTGGTTTCCTTGAGACCCTGAGCTGCAGATGCTCGGAGTATCAGCAAATCTCTAGCCAACGTAGCCCAGCCCCAAACTCCTGGCCTGTTCCTCTGCACCTAGGGGCCTCAGATCTATGGTCATGGCCCCTAAGCAAATCAGACAGGTCCCTTACAAAAGCAAAAGCCACCCCACCCCAACCTCTCCATCCCCTGCTGATCCCAGATCACAAATGCCTATCTGAAAGGGGCATAAGAGATATTGTGGATGCCAGGCCATGACTCAGACAGAGGGAGAGATATCGACTTTTTCAGATACATACACACACACTGGCAGGTGTACATCCCTAAGTAGGAGCTCAGATTAATTCCACAAATAATTAAACACCTACTGCGTGCCGCTCTGTGTTTTGGAGCTGAAGCAGCTTGCCTGAGCTGGTCTTCTCACACATCAACTGAAAGAAGCTGGTGTTCTGCTGTCCCACTTTCTGCATTGGAAACACACTGCAGGGATTTGGGGATGGTGTGGCTAAATTTAAAAGCAAATGCTTTCATCAGCCTTTCAAAAAATGTGTAAGAATCATTTGGAAATCTTCCGTTTTCCACCCTGAATCAGCCTCTCTCCCCCGTTGAAACCCTTCTCACCATCTTCTCTTGCTCCCAACTTTGAGGCTATGAAAAAAATCTGCATCAAGCCCACGGTTCACAGAATCAGACCTCTTCCCCCCAACCTCCATATGCATGCTGGAGTGACGAATTCCCCTCTGAGTCCTCTAGAAGCCTCAGTTTCCTCTGATGTGAGCAGTAGCTACTTCTTAGGATTGGTGTGAGAACCACATGAGATCATTCAGTTAAAGCCCTCAGCATGGGACTGGCATCTAGTAAGGCCTCCATTAAGGGCAGCTATATCATCAAAAGGATGAAAGATAACAAGTGCTGGCGAGGATGTGGAGAAAAGAGAGCCCTTGCACACTGTTGGTGGGAATGTAAATTAGTATAGCCATTTTGGAAAACAGTATAGAGGCTCCTCAAATGATCTAAAAACAGAATGACCATATGATCCAGCAATCCCACTTCTAGGTATGTATCCAAAAGCATTGAAATCAGTGTGTTGAATAGATATCTGCCCTCCCACATTTATTCCAGCACTCTTCACAGTAGCCAAGGTATGGAAACAACCTAAGTGCCCATCAATGGGTGAATGGATTTTTTTTTAATGTGATACATACATACACAATAGAATACTATTTGGCCTTTAAAAAGAAAGAAATGCTGTCATTTGCAACAACATGGACAAATCTGTGGAACATCATGTTAAGTGAAATAAGCCAGGCACAAAAAGACAAACACCACATGATCTCATGCATATGTTGCTATGGTTTCAATGTGACCCCCTCCAAAATTCAGATGTTGCCAACGTAATAGTATTAAGAGGTGAGGCCTTTCAGAGGCAATTGGGCCGTGAGGGCTCTTCCCTTGTGAAAGGGATTATATGGCCCTTATAAAATGGGCCTCATTCAGGGTTCCACCAGCTTGCCCTTCTGCCTTCCACCATGTGAGGAGGACACAGGGTTCCTCCCCTCTGGAGCAAGAAGGTGTCATCTTGGAAGCAGACAGCAGCCCTTGCCAGACAACAAAACTGATAGTACCTTGATCTCGGACTTCCCAGCCTCTAGAACGATGAGAAATAAATTTCTGTTCTTTATCAAATCCCATCTCAGGTATTTTGTTACAGCAGCACTGAATAGACTAAGACATATGTGAAATCTAGACAAAAGTCAAACTCATAGAAGTAGAGAGCAGAAGGGTGGTTACAGCGGCTGGTGTGGAGAGGGAGAGTGGATGGGGAAAGAGGAAACATGTCAGTTAGACAGGAGGAATCAGTTCTGGTGACCTATTGCACAGTGTGGTGACTACAGTCAATGATAACATGTTACATATTTCAAAATTGCTAAAAGAGGGGATCTTAAATGCTCTTACAACAAAGAATAATAAGTATGTGAGATGATGGATGTTAACTGGCCTGATTTGGTCACTCCACAAAGAATACATATACCATAGTATCATATTGTACCCCATAAATATATATAATTCTGATTTGTCAATTCAAAATAAATAAATAAATACCAAAACAAAATAAATAGTAGCTAGTATGGCCATGGTCCTGATGAAGAGAGCAGAATGTAGACTCAGGTACACAGTTTCCTGTGTCTGGGTCCTCTCTGCTTCTACCCTTGCCGGGCACAGGAGATGGTTACGGTCAATCTGGAACTGGAAACCACTGGATTCCAGGTGTTTTGTGCTAAAGCAAGAGCCATCCTTACTCCTGCACTCTACCATCGTCCTAAAAATGACCCACTGAGTGAGGATATTTCAATGGACCACTCCAGGCAGGAAGCCTTGGGACACAGCCTGAGGGAAGTGAATGGGCTGCAAAGGCTCGCTGGGGTGTATGACGTGTTCTGGGTTATTAAAGCATAAACATAAAATTCCTTTGTCAATCACCTCCAAGGAAAGGGGGCCTGGTGGAATTTTTTTTTTTTTTTTGAGACGGAGTCTCGCTCTGTCACCCAGGCTAGAGTGCAGTGGCGTGATCTTGGCTCACTGCAAGCTCTGCCTCCTGGGTTCACGCCATTCTCCTGCCTTAGCCTCCCCGGTAGCTGGGACTACAGACGCAGGCCACCATGCCCGGCTAATTTTTTTTTTTTCAGTAGAGACGGGGTTTCACCGTGTTAGCCAGGATGGTCTTGATCTCCTGACCTCGTGATCCACCCACCTCGGCCTCCCAAAGTGCTGGGATTACAGGCGTGAGCCAGGGGCCTGGTGGAATTTTAAGACTCCATTGGTGCTGCCATTGGAGCCTCATCTTTTGTACTGACTATTTTTAGCAAAAATAACGTATACTCTGTTGTGTTGTCAAACTGACAGATGAGCATTGAGCATGCTCCTGGCATCCACAGACCACTCATTCCATTCGGAAAATGCTAGAAAATATTAAATGAGCTTCTCTCAACCCTGGTGCAGAAAGCTGCTGCATACCATGGGCCACAGCCTCTGAATTTCATGGCAAGTGGCTCCGCCCTCTGAGCTCTGCCACCAGGCCCTGGCCTCTGAACTCTACGGCAGGGACTGCAACTCTGAACTCCATGGCAGGTGCCATCTCAGTCAAAGATTCAACCAGGAGAAGCTGAGTCCAGGGAGTCCGGTTAGGCAAAGCATTTGCAAAAACGTATATTAAGGAGAGAGGGGCTCCATAGTCATCATGGGCCTGGAAAACCACCTTTGAGCTCCCATCATCCAGCCTCATAGCTATGGCAACCCCCTTGGCCTTACCCGAAAGGAGGCTCTGCTTGGGGCCAACCTGGGGTGGGGCAAGAAGTTCAGTGTGTCCATCAAATAGGAAGGCCCAGACCAGCCCATTCATTCCTCAGATCCATGGTCAGTCAGCATGTGGTTTTTGTTTTGTAACTCCTTTATTCACTATGATCCCTCTGGGATCTACCTACATTCAAGTGCCCTGCCTACTTTATTCTGCCCAGAAGTTTTCTTCCCCCTTATCACCCAGTTCCCCTAAAAAGAGAGCTCTGAGCTCCACCCAGCATGACCATGATTGGGTCCATGGCTGGGCATGCTTAGTCAAAGCTACTTACTTTATTTCTTGATTGTGATTACAGGAATAGTTGGAGCATTTCAGATTTTGGATTTTTGGACTAGGGATGTTTGAACCAGTAAGAATAATGCAAATATTACAAAATATTTTTCAACCAGAAGAGAAGATTAAGAAAGTTGCGATAGCATGGCATATTTAGAAAAAAAAAAAAAAAAGTAAGGTAGAAATAAGGAATAAGAAACTAGCAAGCGGAAGTGCCTGCTGCCCAGTATAGAATGACATGGATCTCTCCCCATTGCGTTTGTTCAGCCAAGCCACTGTGCCTCTCCAGTGTGTGCCAGGCTATGTGCTGGAGATGGGCTGTGGAAGGGAAAGTGCAGGTAAGAGTGCATGGGGCAAGCAGGCAGGCACTGCCTGGCAGAGGCTCCCAGTCTGGACGATGCTAAAGATGGGCACTCATGTTTCTGTAGCCTGAGGCAGGCCAGGAAGAGACCCAGGGAGGACTGAGAACAGGCCTCACATGTGGCAAGGGACTCCAGCAAGTCTGGCCTCAGTGCCATCCCTGGAACATTCTTACCTTCCTGAGGTTGGGAGTCAACCTGAAAATTACCAAACGAGAAGTGAACCAGGCTTGAGGGCAAGTGGACCACCAAGGACTGGACTGGAAGGAAGAGAAGAAGCACAGGCCACACCTGCTGGAGGAAGAAGTGGGAAGCAACCAAGTGGGAGGGGAGAGGGAGTTAGAGCCAGAAGCCCTGATGCAGACATCTCCTTGTAGAGCAGGGGATGGCAGAGTGCCATGGAACCCAGAGATCCCCTCCCCAGGGAAAGGTGAAGAGATAAAACTTCCAGTCCTCTCATAAGGCCCAGAGATGCAGAAAATTTCAACAGGAAGAAGTTCAGGGGAGGCAGAGAGTGAGTGAGAGTGCACACGAGACCTCACTAAGAGAAAGCTGCTGCCCAGTTTGTTACCAGGTACAACACCGGCCTCCTACAAGCGGGCATAACTTTGACCCCAGCCCAGGACACCCACTAGTCTCCTTTGCTGAATTCACTAACAAGAGCTGTGAAGGGTCCTACATTTTATCCTACTTGCAAGCTAACATGTTAGCCTGCCACAGTTTCATGGATGCTGGCAAAAGACAAGAGACTCCTGGGTCAGAAACAAAGCACTTTGTTACTCACAGTGCAGCAAGCAGCATGGCTGTCACATCTACATCAGTTCCTCTTGCCTACCCAAGTCCCATGAGGGTAATAAGGAGGGGCCCAGGAAAATGCTGCACATGCAGTGGGTTTGCTGCACACCTGAGGGACCCCAAACTCAGAAAATCCAAGCCTTTTAAAATGAGCATAAGCCTACCTGACCTTTGCTCTAGAGCGAGACATTATCTTTACTATAGTGGACAATAAAAATACTTGCTTACCCCAGAAGGAGACACCAACTCTATGTTCCAAGGCTGTTTGCAGTACAAATATCCCAGAGGAGATAGTCTGGAATAAAGATCATCAGTGTCCCTGCTCACAAGACATGCAGAAATGCAAGAAACCCAAGAAACCCTTGGAGAATTGTCTTACAACATTCAAAAACTACAGAGACAGTCCTCGCCTCCCATGACAGTTCCCACCTCATCCCTAGGGAGAGCACAAGGATGGAAGAAGGCAGGGATGCTTGGCAAAGAGAAAGTCCTTGAGCGTGACCTTGAAGAATGGCAGAGACAACCTCCCATTATGGGGTGGCTTGTTTTGAGGAATTCTTTCTCTAAATTCTGCTCTAAAAGCAAGGAATCGTGCATGAGCAAACAGAATCCCCCTGTCCTTCCCCAGGGAAAAAAGAGGGTCTATGGCTTAGTTTAGGATTGCCTAGACTCTGAATCACATTTGAGGCTATTCTCTGGCCACTAAACGAGCACTCCTTACAGACCTCAATCTCTTTGTGTTCTGCCTGTGGCACACCCCACTCCCACTCCCTGCCCCCATCATATTAATGGCATTCCCCACAGTTATACAAATAAAGCCTCAAGGATCCTGCCCTCCAGGTTCAGGTCCTAAAGCAGCCAGACAGGGGAAAAGTACCTGCAAATGTGCCTCCCTTTTCACAACAGGTAAGTGGTGAGACATGTAGATTTGGATCATCTGGTTTCTCTTCTATGCTCATTGAGGAGATCATTGGTTCACAAACCTTGCACTTGGAAGACGGGCTGAACAGCCATTTCAGTGACTCCTCCCATCACTGCATTTTCCTGTAGTGCCTGCCCAGCAGCCAGAATCACTCAGGGTCACTCTTCTCACTTCCACATTCCCAATCATAAAACACAGCCCAGCCCCCCGACCCTGCCCTTTCCCATAGAATTTACAGCAGGGAGTGCAGGAGCCCTGTCACAGGAGTCTTCGCCTGAACAGCCCTCTTCTAGCATCTCTCTAGCAGTTTCTGCAAGCCTCTAATATTCTCCCCCTCTCCCCAGGATCTCTTAAATAAATGTTATGTGATCAGTTACAGCATTGCCCTATTTAATTGATTTATATGCACTTTAAAAAGCTTTACACTGCACAGGAAACACATCTATCATAATGCTTGATTGAATTGGAGAAAGGAGAAGGAAGAAAGGGAATTAAAATTTATTGAGCACTTATTATGTGCCAGGTAATGTGCAAGGCACTTTACATACATTATTGAGTTTAATCCTCACAACAGCCCTGCAAGGTGGGTATTTCTCGCTATTTGAGGACACTAAGGCCTACAGAGGTTAAAAGACTTACCCAAGGTTGCAAAGCTCTTAGCTGGAAGGAGCCGACTTCAATTGCAGGTCTACCTGACTCCAAGCCAACATTGACTTCAGGACTTAGATATCAGGTGTTCAAAAAAAGCTATGACTAGGGAATATACCCCTTATTGTAACATTGTTTCATTGAGAAAATAAGATGCAATTTGCATTGCCACCTCCTACCACATCTTTCCCCTTAACCGTATGTTCCTGTGTGCACCATTTGACACTGAAGGCTGATGGGTGGGCTGGAGAGCGAGGAAGGGGGTGCTGAGCAGATAAGTCAGATGCGTTTACAAAACTGAAGAGTTTTCTCTCCAAACATTAACACCTTTTAGAACATTTTAGCTATTTAAAAAAAAAAAAAAAAACCTGGCTCACATCTGTAATCCCAGCACTTTGGGAGGCCGAGGCGGGCAGATCACTTGAGGTCAGGAGTTCAAGACCAGCCTGGCCAACATGGTGAAACCCCATCTTTACTAAAAATACAAAAATTAGCCAGGCATGGTGGCCAGAACTTGTAATCCCAGCTGAGGCTGAGGCAGGAGAATCGCTTGAACCTGGGAGGTGGAGCTTGCAGTAAGCCAAGAGATCGTGCCACTGCACTCCAGCCTGGGTGACAGAGGAAGACTCCATCTCAGAAAAACAACAAATGAACAAAAAACCCTCAAACTATTTCTATTCAATACTATCGTGAAAGTTATAGAGAACGCCTATTCATTCAATATGTATTTATAGGGGACAATTCACTGTGGGGGAGGCACCAGGAGACAGCAAAGAACAAACCACTCCAGGTGCCTCAGGACTCATACTCTGGAGTCCAGAGTGATGCTAAAATCTGCAATGGCCAGTTAGGCACGCCCCAGGCAGGTGGAACAGATGGGGCTCAGTGCCTGCCTGGGTCCCAAGGAAGTGGACCCCTGGATAAGGAGGAACCCTATACCTTCCCTCGCGACACAGGGAAAGAACCACACATTCAATCACACGGATCCCCAAGACTGAAGAGAGATTTTGGCAAGTACTTTCCCTTTTACTACGTAGAACCAAACTGCCGAGTCCTGTGAGTTTGTGTCTGTTTTGCAGTTTTTCTGCCTCTGATTACCAGACTGTCAGCTGTCACTTCTGATGATCGCTGCCCCTGCACATAGAAGCACCTCTCTTCACTTCTAATTCACTCTGGGTTTTAATACAAGAGTGCAGCTCTTGTTGGAATGTAAGAGTCTTGAATGAGTCCGCAGGCCTGTAGGTAATGCAGGAATGCCTGAGATTTAGGGAAAACACTTTGGGGCATCTCTTCCGTCTTCTGGGGGAAACTTTTTGCTTCCATCCTGATGCTCAGAGCTGTGATCTAGATATTGGAACTTACCAGATAATATCAGGATGAATCCCAACAAAACTGAAATGATAATTTGAGGGCAACTCAGGCAGAGATGTTTTCACAACTTCAGAGGGCAATTTGGCATTCAGGAATTATAAAATAGAGCAAATGTGAAAAACAGGTAGCTAAACAAAAATGATCCCTGCAGCTTTTTCATTTATTTAAATTATCCTGGAAAGAAATAATTTTCCGTAAAACCAACCAAATGAAACTTTGCTGTGATCTCCCACAAACCACCTGGCCAGGTCCTACTGGAGTTTCCAAAAACAATGAGTTTTTACTTTTAAAAATGATCAGAACATTCAGTACTTAACACACAAAAAAGTAGCAACCATTCTGCTTGGCACCATTTAATCAAGTGTGAGTGTCAAATTCTTTATAGCTTCAAATTAACAACAAGGAACTGTAATTTTTGTGTTTGTTTGTTTAAAAGACCAGCCGAGATTTTTCTTTTTGCCTGTTTAAGCTTCATTTAATTCAAGCTCCAATCTGCCCCTCTTTGATTGCATTTCCAAATCCTAAATAAAAGTGATAACTCTTTCTGCCAATTGTAACAAACTGCTGGTGCCAGTTATTGCTTTTTGAAAAAAAAAAAAGCAAAACCAAAACCAAAAAAAAAAAAATCTTTTAATACTTAGCGGACAGCTTTATCCAAAAGCGGGGGGAAAACCCTGGCCTTTCAAAACCATCCAATATATTTGTAACAACCTCTTTACTGAGTTCATGTATCTTCTTTATTGTTCTTCATAAACAGGCTATTGGATCTCTCTAGCTTGCAATGTGAAAAATGAAAGAATTTCCTCCCATCCATGCCTCTCTTATCTCATAATTGTTTTGTTCTGAGAGGTAGGGAAGACCCATATAAATGTCTCTGCTATTTTATTTTGTCCTCTCCAAGCCCGTGCATGCTTTTCTCCGGGGCTTTTGACTCCTTCTCTTCTGTTTCTGCCTGAACCTGGATCTACTTACTGTTCTCTGCATCAAACCCTGCTAAATTGTTTGAGATTTCATTTCTGAGGGTGATGGAAGAGAGATAAGAGTCAAACGCATTTTAAAAGCCACTTTTTGGCATGTCTGTGCTGGGTAGTCAGAGGCAGAGGTGCTTAAGTAGCTGCTCACCTGACATCACAGAACACCTTGGCTGGGGTCTGCAAGGACATCCTCGTGCAGCGTGAGCATCCGCCGCCTCTCTGCCCCCTTCCTTCAAGGGGCCCTGCCCACTGGGCTTTCTTCGCCTCTGCTGCAGCTTCCAAGTTTCCTCTATCTCTCCAGTCTCTTCCATCCTCTCAGTCTTCCTCGTAAAGCTGATGTCTTCCAGAACAGGAATCACCCTTGTCGGGGACAGACAGTTCCAAGAGTCTGTTGAGGTGGGTCATTAGAGAGGAGGTGGGTTTTGTAAATGTGGTTAATTGTCCTGCAAAGGAAGAAGCTGCACACTCCAGGGAGAGGCCATGGAAAGGGTCCAGAGGAAAACAAAATAACTATTTACTAAACCCTGATTCTTCATTGCAACAGAGCAAGCACCTCAGACCAGAGGCCCTCTGCAAGCAGCCCTGAGTATTGAAGTTGTTCCATGTAAAGAATTCCATGAACGCTCATCAGTCAGGTTTTGCTGTGATAATGCTGGGTAACAAATAATCCCCAAATCTCAGTGGCTTCCAACAACAGATTATTTCTTTTCACTCACGGGTCTGCAGGTTGACTGGGGTTAGCTGAACTTGGCTGGGCTTGGACACAGTTTGTTCCGTGGGTCTCTTTATTTTGGAACTGCAACTACCTTATCTTATGGTGGGGGCAGGAGCACCAGAGGACAAACATGGACACGTGACCCCTCAGCACCCTCTCACCTTCATGCAGTGGTTGCACAGCCATGCCCAAAGTGAGCGGGGCAAATATATGCCATCAGCAAAGGAAGGAGTAACATCAAGTGAACATTTGCTCAATGATAATCTAATCTACCACCAAATGCTATACATGCACACTCACACACACTCTCTCTCACACACACATGGATCTTTACGGGCCCAGACAGAACTGCTTCAGAGAGACAATAAGTCTTATAAAAGAGGAATTGTCCACTCTTTTATCTCTCCCAGGTAAGACGACTTTTCAGAGCCCTACAAGGATATTTCGAAATTAGTTTCAGATGCAGAGACACTTCAGGCTGAGAGTAACTTTAAATGTCATCTAGTCTCACATCCTCCCCAAGAGAAGTTTCTAGTACCAGCTCCAGTGATGGCAAGATCACTTCCTTCAAGGCACCCACCATCTGCACACAAAATGAGTCTTCTCCTCCTACAACACGCAAGGCCTTGGATATCTGTGGACACCTCTTAGGGATCCCCAAGCCTGCCCTTCTCCAACAGAAAGACCTTGAGCTGCCTTTCCTCAAAGCCCATGGTTTCTAGCCACACTGTCCTCCAGGCACGTGCCATTTTTTTAATGTACTACTTATTCTGTGAACCTAGAACTGTGCCCAGAGATCCAGAACACCAACTGGAGTGATGGGTTATATGTCTTACCCAGGTTGAGCTTAAAGTCACCTAGAGCCAAGACGTTCTTACACCTGTTGCTCAACTATTCATCAATTCACCATTCATGGAGCACTTCTTATATGCCTTGCATCCCACTGGGTGCTGGGGACACAGTGCTGAATGACATTGACATGGTCCTGGTTCTCATGGAGAATACTTGGAGAGACAGATAATAAATAAGTAAAGAAACCAAATAGATGAAAACTGAAACACCTGCTATGAAGAAAAAGATCAGAAGATATGGGAGGAAGCGAAGCTACTTCAAATAATGTGGCCAGGGAAGGACTCCCCAAAGAGGTGACATCTGAGCTGAGACTGGAAGCATGGGAAGGAGGCTGACCAGGGAGCATGGGAGAGGGGCACTCAGGACCCTCACTGGGCAGGGGTCAGGCTCAGGGCTAGAAAGAGCCTGAGATGTTCAGGAAGCTGAAGGCAAATCAGGTTGGCAGGCGTGTGGTCAGCAGGAAAGGGGAGCACAAGGAGAGGACGTCGATCGGCAGCTCTGGTCAGCTGTGAAAGACGCACAGAGCATATTCTCAGTGCCAGAAGCCATGGGTGCACTTGAAGCAGGTGAGGGCCCGATGTCACTTGGATCCTGAGCAGCGTCTTCAGCATTCCCTGTGCGTGTATCTTTGCAGGTCTTTATGGAGGGGCAGCCTCACTGAAGAACTTCACGTTTGTCCCAACTGAGTTTCTCTTTGTCCATGTAGGACCCTGGTCCAGCCTGTCAGTGACAAGCCAGCCTTCTCTCCAGGCTCCCTGCCCCCAACACGGGAACAGCATTTGCTCCACGGCTTTCTCCAAGCCAAGAGGAAGCATGACGATAAGAGGGTGAACAACAGCCCTCGACGTAGAGAAAGTATAAAAGTCTGACAGCAGAACTTTAAAAGCAGAGACTTCAGTGGCCATGGTTTTCAGAATCAAACAGTTCATCTCACCCGGCAGCCCGCCAATGGCCGGGAACAGGCAATGCATCACAGGTGTGCAGGCCACACCCTCAGGGAAGGAGAAGACAGAGGGTCCATGCCAGGAGGCCTGCAGCCAAACGCCCCTGGGGTCTTGTCGTGCCCAGCCTAGGAGGACGAGGTCTGTGTGTCCTACGTCTCCAGGCCTCTTCAGCATGTCGTTTGGGACCACCTGCTCAGCAGACTGTGACTGTGCCAGGATTGCATCACCTCCGCCTTCTCTCTTGCCATTAACACGGGCTGCTGTGTAAGTATGGGCGATAAGGAGAGGGTGCGTGGAGACCAGAGGGCCAGTGAGGAAGCAGGCGGTCCTCAGAGAGCAGCTTGGTGGCCAAGGAGACTTGGGATTCAGAGCCCTGGAGATAAAGGTGGAGACGTCTGCACAGATGAGGCATGGGAGGAAGGGCTGCGGGCAGCTTGAGGCTGAGAGCACACAGTGAGGAAGGCTCTCTCGGGTACAAAGGGAGACACCGGGAGGCCCTCGAGAAGCTCAGCTGACCAAAGACACCCTTCCCAGCAGGAACTTTTCTTTCAGTGAGTGACCTCCCTTGAAGAAAAAGAACCCTAAGTGAAAGGGAGTCAAGACTAAGAATGGCGCCGAGGGCGGCACAGCTGCTGCAGAGGGCAGTGTGGGGGCGGCACACCTGCTGCAGAGGGCAGTGTGGGGGCGGCACACCTGCTGCAGAGGGCAGTGTGGGGGGGGCACACCTGCTGCAGAGGGCAGTGTGGGGGCGGCACACCTGCTGCAGAGGGCAGTGTGGGGGGGGCACACCTGCTGCAGAGGGCAGTGTGGGGGCGGCACACCTGCTGCAGAGGGCAGTGTGGGGGCGGCACACCTGCTGCAGAGGGCAGTGTGGGGGCGGCACACCTGTTGCAGAGGGCAGTGTGGGGGGAGCCCTGTGTCCTGGGGGACGGCTGGTGTCACTCTGGCACCTCAGAGGGACTCATCCTTTGGCCTCACGTCATGCTGTTCCCCTTCCTTCAACCTCGTGACCTGATCTGAATGACACACAGACTTCAGGGGTCAAACCCAAACTTCTGAGGAGGAAGAACCTCAAACTTATCATCTCCTTTACATTTTTCAGGGGAGGAAACAAGTTTTAAATCAGTATGTATACAGCAGACCCCCCTTATCCGCGGGGCATACGTTCCAAGCGCCCCAGTAGATGCCTGAAACTGCAAATAGTAATAAACCGTATGCACACACAGCTTTTTCTTATACATACATGCCTATGATAAAGTTTAGTTTATAAATTAGGCACAGTGAGAGATTAACAATAATAATGAAATAGGATATTTACAATAATATAGTATAATAAAAATTATGGGAATGCACCCTCTCTCTCAAAATATCTTATTGTACAGAACTCAACTATTTTCAGACCATGGTTGACAGTCAGTAACTGAAACTTCAGAAATCAAAACCACAGATTCAGGAGAGCCTGTTGCAGCGTAATCCTATCGTTAAAAGTACATGATATAGGCCGCCTGTAATCCCAGCACTTTGGGAAGCCAAGGTGGGCAAATGGCTTGAACCCAGGAGTTTCAGACCAGCCTGGGCAACATGGCAAAGCCTCATCTCTAATAAAAATATTTTAAAAATAATCCAGGAGTGGTGGTGTGCACCTGTAGCTACTTAAGAGTCTGAGGTAGGATGACTGTTTGAGCCCAGGGGGTGGAAGTTACAGTGAGCCATGATTGCACCACTGCACTCCAGCTTGGGTGAGAAAGCAAGACCCGATTTCAAAAAAAAAAAGTATCTTATATATTAATATAACAAGTATTTATGTGTGCATATATACAGAAGGGGGAAATGTCTGGCAGATATTTACCAACGGTTTATCCTCTTCTGAGTTCATTCATTCCTTTCAATACTTATAAAGACCTTCCATATTAGAAACTGTACTGAAACTCAGTGTCAAAATGTTATTAATTTGATATAACTAATTTAATTTTTTCTTCATTCCCTTTTTTATGTATATTCATATTTTCTCAGTTTTAAAGAATAATGATAACGCACCAAAGAAAAAGCTTCGAAACCAGGCCCCTTGGCCCCCAGGCAGACTCTCTGCCCACCTCCCCCGCTTCCTTCTCCCCAGCTCCTCCCCTCCAGGCTAGGCACCCTGTTTGAGAATCTTCAGACTTCTGCAGGAGCATTTGCACCTGAAGTACCTGTCCCATTTTTTCCCCTCTGATCCCCATGTCCCCTTGGAGCTCAGATGAAGCCCCACCTGGCCTCTCCAGGTCCCGGGACTCCCCAGCATTGGGGTCTGGACAGCTGTGCAGGGCCCCGTCATCTTGCAGAGGTGATATCGCTCTCAGTTCATGCAGCACCGAAGAGGCAGTAAAGGAGATAAACAGAATTTCTGCTCAATGAGTTGATGATAATAATAAATAAGGCCTTTTCTCCAAAGACTTGAAATCTGCTGGCTCATTTCAATGCACAAAATTATTCGTTTAAAAAATTCTCCCCACAGACTTGAAATAGGTGGGGGATTAGTAATCATTAACCCCATTTTGCAGATGGAGAAACCAGGACCCAGCGGGAGCTGGAGCCCACAATGACTGGCAAAGCAGGTGTCCTGACTCCCTGGCCAGTGCCCTATTTGGAGAGGGTACAGTCACAGCCCCAAGCTGCCACTGTAGGCACAGGACCAGAAAGCCATTCCTAGATCCTCAGGAGTCGATACTGAATCCACCACCCAGCTCGCGAACTGCTTCCTTCCTCTGACTCAGAGTTCCCTAAGGCCCAGACTAGCATCTTCTCTTCCCTTTCTCTATCCTTCCAAGACTGAGCAAAGCAAACACAAGGCCCAGAATCCCCTTCTGCCTCCCGCCTCCCCACTGAATGTGCTCAGAACAGGGTTCCCTGAAGGCCCCCGGCACTTGGGGATGGATGATGCTTGGATCAGCTGAACCCCGGCAGGACAACGTCTCTGGTCCAGGCACTTTTATTTTCCAGAAGAATCCTGCCCACCCAGGGAGACTGAGAGGCAGCCATGTGGCTCAGAGCAGGGAGAGGACATCCTTCTCCTGCTCTGCCTTTGACTGTCAGAGCTTCCAGCCTCCGGGTAACCATGGTAATCGGCAGCATTAACCGCAGCAGTGACAGGAGCCTCAGCAGGCCCACTCTGACCTGCTCCACTGCAGATGGTGCACCGCCGGCTTCCCGCAGCTTCGGTGGGGAGCTGTGACCGGCTGCCAAGCCCCTGCTGCACTCACCTGCACACCTGCTGCCTGGGCCCAGAGGTTGCAAAGGGTGGTCTGTTGCCCAGACCCAAGAGTCAATGCTAGAGAGATAAAGGGGCCTTGAACCTCCTGCAACCCTTCACAGGGCCTGGTCAAAAGAGGTCCAGGATGCAGTCCAAAAGCATAGTTGCCACGTCAGCGGAAGCTGTGGGCCTGGGCTTTTTCTCTGGACCCGCCACTTTTCCAGTCTTAGTCCCGACACCAAAGGTGGCAGCCATCCTCCAGTCACCTCAGGAGGCCAGCCCGACCTGAGCCAGTGAGGGCCTCTCATGTCAGAAATTGGGGCCATCCACAGTCATCTTCTGCTCTCTTTACAGGGCCATGCTGAGGAAGCCACAGCAGAGCCATTCTTGACCAGTTGGATGCTGCCACCCACCCACCCCACGGGGCCCATCAGCTCCACTGGCCCATGTGTTTCCAGGTCTCTGACAACAGCTGCATGTCCTGCCAGCCTGATCGTTCTTATTCCTGAGTTCCCTTCCCTCCTTTTAAGCACTGAACGAATCCCAGAGCTGAGCCCCTGCCCAGAACCCAGGGGTCTGTCCTTTGCAGCTCTGAGGGCCAGAGGGGACTGCACACAGGGAAACAAATCCAAGACCTTCTACATTTCTCAGGTCCTTGAGTGCTTCTCTCTGCTCCCAGCCTCCCTGCCCTCCAGAGGCCAGCCCCGGGTTAAACAGGGGTTGCACAGGCCAGAGACCGCATCCCGGATTCCAGACCCACGCGGCTGGAACAGGCTCCGCAAATTCTGCCAAACTATGCGAAGCATTCTTAGGTCCAGCTTCTTCTGAGAAATCTCAAAATGGAGAGGACAAAGGCAAAGACAGTGAGTTTCCCAGGAAGCCCCAAAGCCCTGGCTTCCGCCCAAACTCGTTTGCGGCCCTGGGAGTCCGTGGTGGGGACGGAGAACGACGTGGCACTCCCTCTAGCGGCAAACGTCTCGCACAGAGCCCGGCATCTCTGCGGCCGGAGGCTCGCCTGCCGCATGCTCTCCTGCCAGGGCCACGCAGCCTGCCCTCCTCTCCCGGGGAGGGGAGATCTGCTCAGCAACTCCCCTGTGGCCATGGAAGAGGGGCTGTCGGGTGTCGGGGGAGGAGACCCCCCTCCGGCCTCAAAGCAATTCCCAGCCAGGCCTTCACAGCTGCATCCTGGCGCCTGGGAGGGAGGTCACCACGCTGCCTTCTGCCTTGATTAGGCCGGTAACAGTCAGGAAAGCCCTGGGGCTCACCCGAACCGAGCTGTCTACAGACAAATCACAGGCTCGGAGCTGCTTCACCAAGCCGAGCACAGTCTCCTGTTTCCAGCACTGACTTCCCAGGAAGCCTGGCCGGTTGCCCTGCGCGGTCCCCTCTGGACCTTCTTCAGCCTCTGACACCCCTGCTAGGATTCCATGGTTGGCTCCTGTGCCCTCCACCCCATTCTTTGGGGACACATGTTCTTACGCATCTCTGTACCCCAGCAACCCGCACAGTAATTGTCTATTGAATTCATATAAGAATGAAGAAATAAAACAGTATTTGCTGTTACAAAAGATGTTTCTCCACACAGAGAGTTCTTCACCAGAATCCCCGGGAGGCTCTGCCTGCACCCAGGGAGCTCCATGAGGTCTTCACCGTGCTCCTCCCTTTGTTCCACCCTGTCCTGCCCCAACTAAACTTAGTTGCTTGAGGATAAAGGCTAAGTCTAATCCGTCTCTGGTCCAGAGTCCTGAAGAATGCTGAGAAACATTTAAGGGAGGGAGGAAGAGAGGGAAGGGGAAAGAGAGGGAGGATGGACCCTAATCAAAGTGGGCATTTGACACAAAGCCAATCTCCTTGGTCTGTTTAGCCAGTCTATCTGTCTTCAGAGAGCAAGGGTGCTCTTAACTCCATTAATTAATTAATTTTAATTGTAACAGTTTCACTGAAATATAATTCACATATCATTAGAATTTACCCATTTAAAATACAAGTCGACTGGGCATGGTGGCTCACGCTTGTAATCCCAGCACTTTGGGAGGCCGAGGCGGGCAGATCACCCGAGGTCGGGAGTTCGAGAGCAGCCTGACCAGCATGGAGAAACCCCGTCTCTACTAAAAATACAAAATTAGCCTGGCGTGGTGGCACATGCCTGTAATCTCAGCTACTTGGGAGGCTGAGGCAGGAGAATCGCTTGAACCATGGAGTCGGAGGTTTTGGTGAACCGAGATTGCACCATTGCGCTCCAGACTGGGCAACAAAAGCAAAACTCTGTCTCAGAAAATAAAATAGAATAAAATACAAGTCGGTGGTTTTGAGTGTATTCAAAAAGTTGCACATCCATCAACACCATTTCAGAACATTTTCATTACCTCCAAACATCCACTAGCAGTCGCTTCCCATTCCCTCCAAACCCCTCAGCCCTAGGCAACCACTTATCTACTCTCTGTCTCTGGATTGGCCTATTCTGGACATTTCATAAAGTGGAATCTTACAATCTATGTTGTTTTGTGACTGGCTTCTTTCACTTAGCAGAATGTTTTCAAGGTTCTTCCATGGTGTCCATGTATCAGTACTCTATTTATTTTTATTGCCAAATATTATGTGATAAATACATGGGTTTTTTTGTTTTTTGTTTTGTTTTGAGATGGAGTCTCACTCTGTCTCCAGGGTAGAGTGCAGTGGTGCAATCTCGGCTCACTGCAACCTGTACATGTTATTTTTCCCCTCATTAGTTGATAGACATTTGGGTTGTTTCCACTTTTTGGAATTATGAATAATTTTATTTTTATGATATTAAAAAAATTGTTTGAAGCTTTCCCTGCTTCCAAAGAGGATCTGGGGTAGTCTATCATAAAAATGGTAAAGACATAATAAAATCTTACACTATTCATATGGACATTAATATTTAATATTGAGCTTCCTTGGCTCACTGCAACCTCTGCCTCCCGGGTTCAAGCGATTCTCCTGCCTTAGCCTCCCAACCAAGTAGCTGGGACTATAGGCACACGCCACCACACTCAGCTAATTTTTGTATTTTTAGTAGAGATGGAGTTTCACCATGTTGGCCAGGATAGTCTCGATCGCTTGGGGTATCATGGTGGATAAGACAAATACAGACTTGCCCTTTGGAACACAGGATCCAAGGAGGGAGCATGGCCCTAACCAAGCGGACAACTTGGTATTTCCAAAATGTGAAGTGCTGCAAGGAAAAGGAAGAGGGAGCTGCGATGAGGAACCTCAAAGAAGGCAGAGAACATGCTCACATGAGTGGTCAGGGAAGCCCCAGGAAGGAGGTAGCTTGGAAGTTGAGACCCTAAGAAGGAGCCAGCCATGTAGTCAGAGGGAGGATGATATTTATGGCACAGGGAATCACATGAGCAAGAGCTCCAGGGTGAAAGGGAGCCTAGTGTGGTCCAGGAACAGGGAAAAGCATCGAGGCTCGACTGTGGGGAAAGGGCAGGAGGCACAAGACAGGGTCGCAGAGATCCACGGATGCCTCATGGATCAAGACAGGGAGCTGGAATTTTACTCAAGTACAATAGGAATTCAATGAGAAGTTTTGGAAAGGAGAGTAATGAGAATCGATTTAAGTTTTGAAATGACTGTTGTGTGGAGACTGAATTGAAAAGCAAAAGAAGACACAGGAAACCCTGCTGGGAGGATTTCGTGTGTCCAGAAGGGATGCCTCTATGGGATGGCGGTCAAGTTGGAGAGAAGTGAGGAGACTCAACATATATGGTGGAAGTAAAAAGAACCAGACTACCTGGGAAATTGCTTATGGGGCAGGAAAAAAACCTAAAGAAGAGGGAGGCATCACAGACAGCTTCCAGATTTTAGTTTATGGAACTAGATAAAAGACTGCACCAACTACTGAGGTGGAAAGAATGGAATGGGTTTGGAGAAAGATCCAGAGTTCTATTAGAGACACACCTGGCTTAAGTCGTGTGTGCAACACCCGCATGCAGCTGCCGAGCAGGCCACTGGATATAAGAGGCTAAAGCGCTGAGAGGAGGCCTTCCTGGAGATGCAAATTAGGGACTGTCAGAATCAGAGTGACATTTGCAGGCTTGGTTATGGAGGAGATCACCTGGGAAGATCTTTGAAGCTTATGAAGCGATCTTCCCAGGTACCAAATCAATAAGCCAGTTCTGCCCGTTTGGAGGGAGAAAAAAAATCCCAGATGAGTCTAGCCTTTTGGTGTGTGTAAATTAATGAGTTTGATGGAGCCACGTTTTCTCCAGTCAGTTATGGCTTTGTTTCCATGCATGCCCACACAGATACACAAAACAGCACTCATGACCCCCAAGGAGCCAGGCCCTCACCAAGTGGACAACTCAGTCCTTCCAAAATGTGAAGTGCTACAAGGAAAAGGAAGAAGGAGATGCAATGAGGAACCTCAAAGTGGGCAGAGAACATGCTCACATGAGTGGTCAGGGAAGCCCCAGCAAGGAGGTGACTTGGAAGTTGAGACTCTTAAGAAGGAGCCAGCCATGTGGTCAGAGGGAGGATGATATTTATGGCGCAAGGAATGGCATGAGCAAGAGCTCCAGGGTGAAAAAGAGCCGGGTGTGGTCCAGGAACTGGGAAAGAAGGAGACTTGGGCAGGCAGCTACACTCGGGTCAGCAAGGGAGTTAGCCCCCAACATGGGAAGAAATGTTCCGATCCAGCAGTTAGATTGTCTGTCAACAGGCTACCACTGCAGCAGAAATGTTGTTGTGGCACAACCACTACCAACCACCAATGCAGACTGCAGTGATGCTCTCAAGACTATTTAAGAAGGCGAGAGATTAAGCTACCTGGATTCACACTCAGCTGCAGAGGCAAAGGAAGAAGCTCCATCCATATGTCGCACCCCAGTCTGGGTGAGAAAGCAAGACCCTATCTCAAAAAAAGTATCTTATATATTAATATAACAAGTATTTATAGGTGCATATATACGGAAGGGGGAAATGTCTGGCAGATAATTACCGATGGCTTATCCTCTTCTGAGTTCATTCACTCCCTTCAATACTTACAAAGACCTTCCATATTAGACACTGTTACTGAAACTCAGTGTCAAATGTTATTAATTTATATAACTAATTAAATTTTTCTTCATTCCTCTTTTTATGTATATCCGTATTTTCTCAGTTTTAAAGAATAATGATAATGTACCAAAGAAAAAGCTTCAGGCTGGATGTGGTGGCTCACACCTGTAATCCTAGCATTTTGGGAGGCCGAGGCAGGTGGATCATAAGGTCAGGAGTTTGAGATCAGCCTGGTCAATATGGTGAAACCCCGTCTCTACTAAAAATACAAAAGTTAGCGGGGCGTGGTGGCAGGCACCTGTAATCCCAGCTACTTGGGAGGCTGAGGCAGGAGAATTGCTTGAACCTGGGAGGCAGAGGTTGCAGTGAGCCGCAATCACGCCACTGCACTCCAGCCTAGGCAGCAGAGCGAGACTCCATCTCAAAAAAAAAAAAAAAGAAAAGAAAAAGAAAAAAGAAAAAGTCTCGAAAGCAGACCCCTCAGCCCTCATCATCCTCATCGTCATCCTCATCACCATCACTCTGCTAATAAAAAGCTTGTTTTGTCCACCAAAACCTACAGAAAACTTCCCAAGTTTTATTTTTCTGGAAAATCAACATTTACTAAAGAATTTGCTCAGGACCCCCTGAAGAAAGATAGTATATTGCTGTATTTCTGAGACATGATTCTATTTTTTGATGATTTTACCAGAAAACCTGGGTAAAAAATAAAAGACTTCTCAAGAATCCCATTCCACAGGTAAAGACAATGCTAACTTCTGCTGTTTGTGAACGGGGTGACTTGGCCTTCTCTCTCTGCCACAGAGACCCTGTGATGGGGGGAGTGTGGGCTGCCAGCACAAGCTGAGCTAGGGGAGGAGAAATTAGCAGGGATTTGGCTTTGTCCAGTCGTTTCTCAATGATGAGGGTGATTCAGATATACAAGAACTAGTGTCAGTTGGGTTTTAGTTTATGGAGGGAAAGAAAGATGCCATCCATTACCCAGTTGTCTGTTATTGATCATGATGATGGCCCAACGCCCAAGGTGGACGGCAGGAGCACAGGGAAGAGAGGGACACCCTGGCCTCATCTCAGGAAAGCCAAAGCACAACGGAGGCCAAGACGGGGCCCAGCAGAGCCAGCAGCAGAACTAGCCTGCGAGCACTTAAGGCCAAGTGCTTCCGAATCCAGCATGGCAGGCAGGAGTCCTGCGGGGAGGCAGCACTGCAGGATTCCAGAGGCAAGCCCCAGAGGGGTGAAGACCTGGGGTTGAGAGGGCCCTGGATGATTCTGAGAGAGGATGGAGGGTGCATCGCCAGCAGGAAGGGGCTGAGCAAAGCTCCAAAGCTGGAAGGTAGCGGTGCATTTTGGGGCAGCAAGGAGAGCAAGGTGGGGAGGGCCCAGAAGGGAAGGGTGGGACACAGCAGGTGGAACAATGAGGGGAGCGCCCGGAGGAGGGACAGAGAGGAGCAAAGGCTCCTGTCCTCAGGCAGAAACCCATCTGACCTGAAGCCATGTGGCTGTATCTTTTCCACCCTAGGACCCCACCAGGAGCCCCTCAACAGGCCCAGATGAACTCTGTTCTGACTCCACATTCAATCTTCAAACACAGGAATGTGGCCATAGACAAACTGGTTTAAGTTTTAATGTAACCCGCCAAACCAATTCCCAGGGAGAACTGATTCTTATAAAGTCTTGGCATTTACCACCCACTATTCATCTTTATTTTAAAAGATCCTAAGAAGTCCACAAATTACAGGGTGCAGAATACCTCAGGCTCTATCTGTTTACTCATGGGTTGGCCCTAAATTAACAGAAACTTGTTGTTTTACTTAAAAACATTCTGAAGAGTGTTCTTTCAGGATTTCCTGGCTTAACTGCATGTAAAGAGAGATTCAGAAATGAAAATAGTAAATATGAAAACTTATCCATTACTTACCAACCCAGTCTTTGGCAAATTTCTATTGTAAGTGGGCTGGGCCCCTAAGAAAAGCTGAGGCTGGAAAAGTGGCCTGAGGCCTTGAGGTCACTCCTGTGGCTTGACTGCAGTTTATGCTGTGGCCAAGTGGAGAAGGGAGATGGCCCAGCCAGGCACAGCTGGGGCTTCAGAGAAGTCATCCAAAGTCCAGGGGGCTTGTCAATCAATGCTGATTGACACTGATGTTATAAAGTGCCATGATATTCTAGAAGTGACATGGAAAAAAATGGAATTACTTTGGAAATGTAATTTCACTCAACCAGTTTTTTTCCCTTTTCCCTGAATCTCTTCTTCCAGACTAGAATAAAAAAGTGTGCTGCCCAGAGAAGGTGGAGGAGGACAGTGATGAAGGTCACAGAGTTTAGAAGCAGAATATGACATAAAGATGCTCCCAGCTAACCAAAAACAAAATAGAAGATCCTTCCACTGCTAGTGGAAGAGCCAGGAGAGAGAAAATGAAAGGGAAAGAGGTCAGATAGGAATTTCTGGCTCTCTCCAGTGGTTGCAACCTCTGGGGGTAGAAAAGAAATTGATAGTGTCAGACAGGTTTGCAGGGAAAGGCCAGCACATAGCTGCTTACGCCTGGCTTCCCTGCATATCCCAGGAAAATCAGAGGGGCCTCAAAAAAACCTTCTGTTGGGCAAGGTGTCTACCACGATACAGGGTGGCAAATTAGAAATGACCGAGGGAGTGGTCTGGGTGGCCACAGACAACATCCCCCCTACTGTCCTCCTATCCTAGGAGTGCGACATAGGAATCTAGAAGCTCCCTCATGCCAAGCTCCCAAGATCATTCACCAAGCTGGGCCTGCACTAAGAAAACAGACTACAGGATCCACCCAGCAGTGGGCACTTCAGTGGTGGAGCTAGCGAGGACAGAGCTGCCCTGGGACAAGCAGGGGTGAGCAGGTCAGCCAGAGGACAGCTCCCAGGCAGGCAAGCCCATCAAAGCCAGGAGACAGAAAGACGCCTTGAACCCAGACATCCTCTTGGGAAAGTGGGGCAGGAGGAGAACAGCCTGCTTGAGAGAGGAATCACAGACCTGAAAAAGAATATGAATTTTCATTGGTTTATGATTTACTGGGTCATGAGGGCTCTTTTAAACTAGAAGAAAGAATGCTACCTTCCCTTGTCAAGGCAAAAGACAGTTTTTGGTGGTAGTGCTGGTAGTGGTATTTGTGTTTTTGTTATCATTGCTATTTTTCCTGCCATCAGCAAGAAAGTAAGATCAAACCAGTTCGGGAAGATTAAAACAGCAACGTTTTTCTGCATATGCCAATATTTAACTGCTAAATTTGAGCCCCCCTACAACCTATAATTGTCTTTTTTTTTTTTTTTTGAGATGAGGTCTCACTCTGTCACCTAGGCTGGAGTACAGTAGTGTGATCTCGGCTCACTGCAACCTCTGCCTCCCAGGTTCAAGCAATTCTCCTCCCTCAGACTCCCAAGAAGCTGGGATTACAGGAACGCGCCACCTAATTTTTGTATTTTTAATAGAGATTGGGTTTCAGCATGTTGGCCAGGCTGGTCTCAAACTCCTGACCTGATCTCAAGTGATCCACCCACCTCAGCCTCCCAAAGTGCTGGGATTACAGGTATGAGCCACCATGCCCAGCCCCTACAACTATCTAAAGGGTCTCTAAGGAATAGGCACACACAGCAGATGGACTCTCAAGACAGTGGCAACTCACAAAGTCCAGCTGGTAGCAGCCACTTCATCCCAGTGTGAGTCCAGCTTTGTTGAAGGAAGACTCTAGCAGCAGCCACAGCTGAAGGACAGGGCCCAGCACTTAGCAGAGTGGCCTGCAAGGGCTGGAAAGGATGTCCAGCACCAACTAAGTGTTCAATCCAAGGAGAAATGAGGTTCTGGGCAGGAAAACCAGTGCAGACTACCCAGCTTCTGGTCTGGAGTGGCTTGCTGAAGGTTTCATGGAAGACATTAACTCAGGGGATTGTCCTCTGCTGGACATTCTCAGCAAGAATAACTTCAGCCCGCCTGCTGCCCTATAACCCACCCGCCTGACCAGGCTTGACTTCTTGGGGAACCACGGCTGCTCATTCTCCAAAGATGCCAGCCTCATTGCTCTCCCACTTCACACAATGAGAAGAGATAATGGACTCAAAAGCACGTCACGAACTGCAAAGGGCCACACAAAAGCTGGCATGGTTATTAATATTAGCCGTGTTTCTTTTTCTCCAAGAGAGGGAGATGGCAGCATTTATGTGTTGGTAAATCTCGAAAGGCGTCCTGCCTGGGCCTTCTTCTCCTTCCGTCCTTTGGCCTGTGAACTTCTCAGTCCGACCCAATGAGTCATTCTGATGGCCGTGTTGTTCTTTATCATAAACAAACAGTTCATGCCTGTCTCAGCGCCCAGGACACAGGAGGCCTTTATTCAGTACCTACTGGTGGAACTGAACAGAACTAAAAGAGACGCTACTCTTGTACTGATGTGAAAACGCCTGGGCAAGCAGTATTCTGACCACAAGCAGGTACTTCATGAGACAGCATTTCATCATTTGTCTGTGAACCTTACCTCTGGAGTGTTCCGGAGGGCAGGACCCATTTCTTCTGCATATCTCAAACCACCGGCGTCCATCCCAGGCCTCCAGCCTTGTTTGGTGAAGGAGTGTTCAATCGATCATCCGAGTGATTGCTCAATTGAAGATATGTTAGTCAAAATCCATAAATCAATCCATGGGCCCACATCCCAGGTATTGCAGTAGAGGTGTGGGGCTGAGGGCCAGGATACCACAGTTCTGGCTCTTAACTGCCACAGGTTTAATGTGTGGCTTTGGAAAAGTTGCCTCCCTTCTTTAGGCTCTTGTTTTTTCATCTGTAAATTCAGGAAAGAGGATTTTTAAAATCTTTTGAGTATGTGAATCCATATTCTGTGATTTTTATCTACCCCCGGCCCCCCGACTCTCCTAGGCAAGGCGAACAAAACCAAACCAGATAAAATCATCTCCAACAATTTCACACAAAAAAAGAGCTGCCCTCTTCTTAATGAGATTCCAGTGAGGTTAAGACTGGTTTTCATTAGATTCTGCAGTTGTTTAACGCCATTAGAATGTTGTTTGTAGAATGATTTTCAAATGTGAGTAAAATGTAAGTAAATGATTCATTTAAATCTGAATCCAAAGAGGTGACAAGGCCACTAGGAGGCCCCAGCACGTGGTCAAGCAGGAGAGGGAGGGGCAGCAGGAAATGGACCCAGGGCACGAGGGGTTGCATCAGAAGACTTGTCACGCGCAGCCTCGAGGGTGGGAGCAAAGAACAGAGGCTGATGAATCCGGGCCTCTGACTCTAACGGCAGCAACCTATGAGTCCCTCTAATTCACGTGAAATCCTAATTTTCAAAAAACAGCAACACAATTCATGTCAAAATTTTACTCGGCATAGCTTAATCTTGAATCTTTGACGATTTGAAATCATGCAACTTTCAATTATTGTGGCACATGCAGGTTTATACACACACACACACACACACACACAGACACACACAGACACACACTTCTCCCTCCCTCTCTAGAAATCATTAGACGTTTTGGTCTTAATGATGTGGAGAAATAAAAAAAAGCACTAGACTTGAGCTGCTACCCAGACTCTGCCATGAGAGGCCATAGTGCAATGTCTGGAATGCAGTGTGAGTGCATGCCCAGCGAATGTTAGCAATGATGATGATGATGATGATGATGATGATGACGATGATGATGATGGAGATGTTGATGGCAATGTTTACAACTATGACTGAAGAAGTACAGAAGTACCAGGGACACCCAACTCAGACTAGAAGTTAGTGAGCCCTCTCTGGAGGGAGTGACATTTTGGCCAAGCAAAGAGGAGAGAAGGGGCCCACTCACATGCAGGCCAGGGTGGCTGTGCATTTCTGCCAGCAGAACTCGCCATGGGCGTCACCCTAACCTGGTGACTGAGTGCTCCTCCTAGCAGCTGTCTCTGTCCAAAATTTTGACTTCGGCCCTTCTTGCCCCATTTCTAGGCTCACCTCACCTTCCCCACTTGACTGCCAGCAGTGCTGAATGTGTGCTTCCTGGAAGCAGTTTTTAAAAATAAATCTTTGAGGTGAGTTTGTTTCCTGGGCATCTGTCTCTTTCTCCAATAGCAACTCATTTAATCATGAACAGCCTTGCAAAGTTAGCAACATTAGCATCCTCACCGTACATGTAAAATGGTTAGGAGTGCCATGAGCTGGATAACTGAATACTCATCTAAAGAAGAGGAAACTGAGGCATGTGTAGGTGAAGTATGTTGCCCATGTTGATATAGCCTAGAGTAAGTTGCAGGGCTGAGGTATAAACCCAATTCTGTCTGTCTCCTAAGTCTGTAAGTTACAACAACGTCTCATTCTCAACACCTTTTATTCCAAGGATTTCAGGCTGTCTTGCCTGCAAAGCTGTGAGCTCTGCAAGGTCAGAGACATTGCCTGTTTTGCTCACTGCTGTATCCCTTAGCACAGTACTTAGCTAGGGTATCGAGCAGTGTCTCAATAAATATTTGTTGAATGAATATATAATGCCATCTACCTTAGGAGGTGATAAAGGGAAGCAAATATGTTTCTGTGGTGCTTAAATTATATATCTATGAAAGTAAAAGGTATTTGAAGTACAGTTTTTAGCAACTAAATTAGGTTCTGAACAAGAAACAGCAGCCCTCCAAGTCTCCATACAGAGGGGACTCAATAACAACTTATTGGTATTACACATGATGAAGAAGCTGGGGAGAGAGCAGTGGTGCCAGGTGCTCTATAGATGAGCACGGCAAGAAGCTACTACCACCCTTTGGATGGAGGAACAAAGAAGAGCCACAAAGTTGCCCAGGTCAGGTGGCTGGGGTCACCTGGTAGGTAGACAGTGAGTCCATCCACAAGGAGCTGGGGCCATGGACATTGCTGCTTCTGCCTAGGACTCCATCTAAGGCAAGGAGAAAAGGAGAGAAATGCACCAGCTTCTCCCTGCTTCTTGCTGTCAAGTCTCCTTCCAGTGCTTTTCATTGCCCAAACCAGCCAGGAGTCCACAGACAGGGTAGTCTGGAAAAGCATCCAACCTATGCAACTGCCTGTGACATGGAGCTGAGCAGGGGAGGGGAGGAAACCGGCTCAGGACAGCACAGAGGTGGATTCTGAACCTAAGATTTGAAAACCATCACGTGGAAAAGGAAGGGTCAGAGTTTTTCAGACATTTCTTATACGACAGTATATTGTATTCAGGAATATCCAGAGGAGGATGTTTTGGACAAATTGGGGAAGTGGCCACCTCTGGCTTTGAAATTCCCAGCTGAAATGGGTGAATGATGCAGGTTTGGGAAGGGGGAGCAGGTGCAGCGTGAGATGCTTTCTCATTCTTCATTCCACTGGGATGTTGGTCCCCATGAGACCCACTGCCCCGGGCCCTTGCCTGTCCACAAAGACAGCCTGAGCCTGGTCCCTTTAGCTCCCTCCTGCTTAAGAACTGGCTCCACAGCCACAAGGCTAACTGACTTAGCAGAGCAAGTTCTATGGCCCCAAGTAAAGACCTCTAGCTCAGAGCAGGCTAAATGTCTCATTTCACCAATGTTCCCCAGTCCAAGTCATGGAAGATAGATTGACCACCAGAGCAGTAAAGACCCCGTGAGCTTGCCTGGTACTAACCCACTCTCTGCCTCTACCTACCTCCTATTCCAAATGCAGACACTAAGGGCCAGAGATTGAAAGAGGCTGGACCACAGTCACATGGCTCCCAGGGGAGGAGGGGCAGATATGTGTGTGTGTATGCTTGAAACTGAATGTTTCACAATGTAAAAGTGAAAGACTATAAAACCTTGAAAGTTGGAGAATTGGTGTTATGGTAAACTGAGTGATTTGATTCAAAATGATCAGACTTGGCACATTAATCTCAATTTTAAAATATTTATAGTAAATACATACAAATCTTACTCAACAGAGCTTAACAATTTATTTTTGATGATGCTAAAGACACCAAAGACCTTGCCAGCCCTCCGTTGGGGATGCCTCAAAAAGATGCAGGAGATATAGCTAAATGTGTGATGGCCTCAGGACATGTCCTGGAAACCACTTTTAAAAATAAATCTCTGGAGACTTTGCCTTCTGTCTATGACTGAGTAGCTTGTGTCAGGTTAACCATCCTGCAGAGAACAACTATAAAAGCTAAATATATTTCAAAAAACAGCTGTTAAGAGTCATCAGAGAGTAACAAAGGCAGCCAGGACTTTAGGGGCCAAGATCCTGGAGTGAAGGGAAATGCAGTGAGTAAATCCTCCATTTCCCCCACGTTTTCCCCTCAGGGCATTTGCTGGCTCTCAAAGGATGTCATTGAGACAGAGCAGAAACATTGGCCTAGACCTGCAGCAGCCTTGCTAATCTGGACAGACAAAAATTAGAGTTCAAAGCTACCAAAGTGACCAGAACAATGGGGACCCTTATCCTGGAGAAATAGGCCATATAGAAATGAGCTAGGCATTCTGTGTATGACTCCCCCTCAAGGGATTTTCTCATTCCTCACATTGCATTTGATGGGCAAGAGACCGGGAAACTAAGCCGTAAACAGGCTGGAAACCCAGCAGAGTTTGAACAATCTCAAAGTGATGGGGAGAAAAAATATTGAATTTCAGGGCCCACCAAGAAGGAGAGATGTTGGTAAATAGCCTAGATTTTCCGTTGAGACAACAGAAGGATTATACAGTAGATGGACACTAAGAGTAAAACCAAGCCAGACATAGACCATCCCTCACAAAGCCTAAAACTCAGTCTCTAAATATCTCAATTTGTGATTAGATCAAGGTGATTTGCCCCCTCTTTAACTGTTGCTGGGGAAAAAATAAACACCTCTGTAAAGGAAAGCAACATTATCTGGAGCCTCAGCGATATTTCATTCGCAATATCCAGTATTCAGTCAAAAATCACCCAGTATTCCAGGGGATATGAAATGAAGCCAAGTTTGAAAAGGAGAGAGACTTTAAAAAGAGACGTATAGGTGGCCCAGGT
This sequence comes from Homo sapiens, assembly GCF_000001405.40. Taxonomy (NCBI): domain Eukaryota; kingdom Metazoa; phylum Chordata; class Mammalia; order Primates; family Hominidae; genus Homo; species Homo sapiens. The sequence goes on from NC_000002.12 coordinate 23,364,718, forward strand.
ACTAGGGTTAACAAACAAAGACTGTATTAATAGTTTATTAATATGAATAAATATTTTCATCAAAAAATAGATTAAAAGGTAGAGAATTGGAATCTAAGAAGAAACCCATAGGAACTGAGAAAGACAATAACTAAAATTAAAAATTCAACAGAAGTCGAGTGCAGTGGCTCACGCCTATAACCCCAGGACTCTGGGAGGCCCAGGGAGGATGACTGCTTGATGCCAGGAGTTCAAGACCAGCCTGGGCAATATACTGAGACCCTCATCTCTATTTATTTTTAAATTTAAAAATTAGCTGAGTGTGGTGGCACACACCTGTAGTCCTAGCTTTTGGGGAGGCTGAGGCGGGAGGACTGCTTGAGCCCAGGAGTTCAAGACTGAAATGACCTATGATTTCACCACTGTACTCCAGCCTGGGTGACACAGCAAGACCCTGTCTTGAAGGAAAGAGAGAGAGAGAGAGAGAGAAGAGAGGGAGGGAGGGAGGGAGGAAGGAAGGAAGGAGAGAGAGAGGAAAGAAGGAAGGAAGGAAGGAAGGAAAGAAAGAAAGAAAGAAAGAAAGAAAGAAAGAAAGAAAGAAAGAAAGAAAGAAAGAAAGAAAGAAAGAAGGAAATTCAATAGATGGATTTAACAGCAGAAGAAAGGATTAGTAAATTGGCAATTAGGTCAGCAGAAAAATAACCAAATTGAAGCAGAAGGAAAAAAGATTAAACACACATGTATGTACAAACAGAGCGAAGGAGACAGACAGAGAGAGAGGGAGAGAGAAGCATAAGAAAGATGTGGGACACAATGAAAAGAACCAACATAAATGGAATTTGAGTCCAAGAAGTGGAAAACAGAGAAATGGACAGAAGCCATGTCTGAGGAGATAAAACCCAAGAATTATATTAATATACAGATTCAAGGAGCTCGAGCAAAATTCAAACACAGAAAAACAAAGAAAACGATACAAAGGCACATTAGAGTAGAGCTCCAAAAAATCAAAGACAAGAGAAAAATTTAAAATAGCCAGAGGAAGGGAAAAAAGATACATTAAGGAGCAACAAGACCTAATCCACACAAGCAGTAGAAGCCAGAAGACAAGAGAAGGATGAAGATAAATGCCAAAATAAAATAACGGGTAGCCTAGAATTCTACAACCAGTGAAAATACCCTTACAAATGAAGGTTAACAAATATCTCAGGTGAATAAAAACTGAGCGAATAGTGAATGTGTTGTCAATGAGTGGATAAAGAAAATGTGGTATATATACACCATGGAATACTACACAGCCATTAAAAGGAACAAAATAATTTATTTAACAGCAACTTGGATGGGGCTGGAGGCTGTTATTCTAGGTGGAGTAACAGGAGTGGAAAACCAAATACATATGTTCTCACTTATAAGTGGGAGCGAAGCTATGAGTATGCAAAGGCATACAGAGTGATAAAATGGACTTCAGAGGCTCAGAAGGGGGAGGGTGGGAGGGAGACCAGGGATTTTTTAAAAATACACATTAGGTACAATGTACACTACTGGCAGGACAGGTGCACTAAAATCTCAGAATTCACCACTATATAACTCACCCATGTAACCAAAAACCACGGGTACCCCAAAAGCTATTGAAATTTTTTTAATTAAAAAAAAGTGTTGTCAACATAGACACACTAAAAAAAATACTTTAAAGGGAGTTTACTCAGACAAAACAATCCAAGTTAGAAGAACAGCAATGCAGAAAGCAATAGAGAGCAAGAAATGGTACATATGAGAGTACACTGAAATGCACATAGTCTATTTCAAACAATAAACATAAGAATGTCTTATAGGATTTCAAATACGTAGAGAAAAAAAAGCACAACCAAACTAGCATAACAGAAGAAGAGAGTTAGGTAAATGGAATCAAAGTTGTATGAGGTTCCTGTATCACCCAGAAAGTGGTGAAATTATTAATTGAAGGGTAGATTCTGTTAAGACATATGGTAAATCTCTAGTACAGGTTGTTAAACTGTCTCCATTGCCAAAATCAAGCCCAGAGCCTGTTCTGTACAGTTGAAGAGCTAAGAACGTTTTTTGCATTTTTAAAGAATAGTGGGGGTAGGAAGAGAAGGAAGAGGAGGAGGAGGAGGAGAAGGATTGGGAGGAAGAAGGAAAGTCACAGACTGAAGGTGGTGCTCAAAGCCTAAAATATTAACTTTTTTTTTTTTTTTTTTTGGAGGTGGAGTCTCGGTCTGTCACCAGGCTGGAGTTCAGTGGCGCAATCTCGGCTCATTACAATCTCCACTTCCTAGGTTCAAGCGAGTCTCCTGCCTCAGCCTCCCGACTAGCTGGGACTGGAGGCGTGTGCCACCACACCCAGCTAATTTTTGTATTTTTAGTAGAGACGGGGTTTTACCATGTTGGCCAGGATTGTCTCGATCTCCTGACCTCGTGATCCGCTCACCTTGGCCTCCCAAAGTGCTGGGATTACAGGCGTGAGCCACTGTGCCTGGCCAATATTTACTATTTAACCCTTTACAGAAGTTCATCAGCCCCACTCTGGGTAATACTAAACAAATAATAAAAGAATGTATAACTTACAACCTAATAGAGGGAGGAAATAGAATAATAAAAAACAATTAAAAGAAGGCTGCAAAGAGAAAAATGGAAGAAAACTAGATAGAACAAATATAAAACAAATAATAAAATCATAGAATGAACACCAAAAATATCAGGAATGTATTAAAATTTAACTGGACTCAATAATCCATTAAAGTAAAAAGATTGCCAGACTATAAAAACAAAACAAAACAAGAAGACTCAGCTATATGTTACTTACAACAGACAGAAACAGAAACAATTTGCCATGAAAACACTAACGAAAAGAAAGCTGGCTTAGCTATACCGATATCAGACAAAGCAAGACTGTAAGGCAAGAAGTATCTCCAGAGATAAAGAGGAGCATTTCATAATGACAAAAAGCCAATTCAGCTGGAAGATTCGATAATCTGAAGTTTGTATGCACCTAAAAACACAACCTAAAACGTGCAAAGCAAAAACTGACAAAAATAAAAGGAAAAGCACATCCATTATCATAGTTGAAGATTTCAAATACATCTTTCAGTAACTGATAGAATAAACTTTCAGACAATAAATCAGTAAAGATACAGACTTGAACAACATGATAAACAAGGGTGACCTTAGTGACATATACAGAACACGGAGCCCAGCAATAACGGGATTACATTCTTTTCAAGTATGCATGGAACATTTAATAAAATAAGTCATATTCTGAGTCATGATGCAGATTTCAGTACATTTCAAAGGGCTGAAATCATACAGAGTATGTCCTCTTACAAGTGTGAAAATGTAGTAAAAATTAATAGGAAACATTCTTTAAATCCCCAAATGTTTGAAAATGACTAAATAACACTTCTAAATAACCCATGTTTCAAAACAACAAATCGGAAATTTACAATTTTAATGGAAATTAGAAAATATTCTGAACTGAATAATAATGAAGAACCAACATGTTAAAACTTGTAGAATAGAGTTGAAACTGTGTTTAAAGGAATAATGTATACCTTAATTACGTATTTTAGGAAAAAAAGAATGAGAGAAAATCATTGATTTAGTGACCATTTCTAGGAGCTAGAGAAGAACATCAAATTGGGACAAATAAATTAGAAGGAAAAAAATAATAAAAATACAAGCCAAAAAATGAAATAAACATAAAATAGAAAAAAAAATCAACAGAGCCAAAAATCGGTTCTTTGAAAAAACTAATACAATTTACAAATCCCTCAAAAGACTGATCAAGAAAAAAGAAGGAATGAACTACTAATATAAATCATGAAAAAGGTGCCATCACTAAAAATCCACACAAGCATCAAAGTGGCAATCAGATGATGTTCTGAACAACTTTGTGCCCCAAAATTTGACAATTTAGATGAAATAGACCATTTCTTTTTTAAAAAACACACACGGCCGGGCGCGGTGGCTCACGCCTGTAATCCCAGCACTTTGGGAGGCCGAGGTGGGCGGATCACGAGGTCAGGAGATCGAGACCACGGTGAAACCCCGTCTCTACTAAAAAAATACAAAAAATTAGCCGGGCGCAGTGGCGGGCGCCTGTAGTCCCAGCTGCTCGGGAGGCTGAGGCAGGAGAATGGCGTGAACCCGGAAGGCGGAGCTTGCAGTGAGCGGAGATCGCGCCACTGCACTCCAGCCTGGGCGACAGAACGAGACTCCGTCTCAAAAAAAAAAAAAAAAAAAAAAAAAAAAACACACACAACTTGCAAATATTGACACAAGAATTAGAAAGCCTTTATTTTTCTTTTTTCCATTTTTAGTAAAGACAAGATCTCATTATGCTGTCCAGGCTCGTCTTAAACTCCTGGGCTCAAGTGATCCTCCCGCCTCAGCCTCCCAAAGTGCTGGGATTCCAGGCATGAGCTACCTCGCCTGGACAGAATTAGAAAGTCTTTATCATCCTATCCACTAAAGCTGAATATTGCATTGCCGTGATCCAGTGATTCAATCTGATAAACGACTACCGAGACATACTGAATATGCCCTGAAATGTTCTTAGCGAAACTGTTTCTAAGAGATTAAAAAACACTGGAAGCTACCCAAATGTTCATCAATAGTAAAAACATTAAATATATCATGGCGTACTCATGCAGTGGAATACCATACAACAATGTAAACACTGAACTACTCCTCTAGGCAACAACACAGATGAATTTCACAGATACTAATGTTGAATGAAAAAAGCCAGATACAAAAAAAAAATACTGTGTGATTCCATTCATGAAGCAAAACTATTTTGATGAAAGGCAGATGTCAGTTACTTTGTGGAGGTAATGAGTTGGAAGGGTATAGGAAGCCTTGGGGATGTGGGTGATGTTATGTATCTTGAAATGAGTTTGTCCACTCTGTAAACATTTATCAGGCTATACTCTTAAAATTGTGTACTTTTCTGAGTATATGATAATGTCAACTTTTTAAATTTACAAATAAATATTAGGCCAGGCACAGTGGCTCACACCTGTAATCCAGCACTTTGAAAGGCCAAGGCAGGCTGATCACCTGAGTTCAGGAGTTCAAGACCAGCCCGGCCAACATAGCGAAACCCCGTCTGTACTAAAAATACAAAAATAAGCCAGGCACAGTGGCGGGCATCTGTAAACCAGCTACTTGGGAGGCTGAGGCAGGAGAATTGCTTGAGCCCAGGAGGCGGAGGTTGCAGTGAACAGAGATCCTGCCACTGCACTCCAGCCTGGGTGACACGGAGAGACTCTGTCTCAAAAAATAAAATAAAATAAAATAAAATAATATAAAAATTAAATAAATCTCTGATGCAAGGTTGTTTTTGGGTGTCTGTGTTTTTCTAATAAAAGTAAACAGCAACACAATATTTACCCCTTCGTATCTTTATAAATAGAATTTGAGAGCACTTTAAAAGCTTGACTCTTGGATCACATTTTTCCCAATACTCGATTGGAAGAATGATTCCCCTCCTGCTTGGGAAGAGACAGTTCTCTATATCTGTTGACCTACAGTGTAAGGAGGATAAAGTGTGAGATTAGGAGGAAGGGGATTTGACCTCCATCTAAGAAGCCATATCAGAAGGATTCACCCATGAAAGCAGCGGAGTCCCCAACAGCGAATCCAGCAACAGATTCTCAACTTTCTGACTATTGGGTTTTCTAAAATGGGTATTTATAATACAATAGACACCATCTTAGCACTCATTATTCAGTGTACCCTTCACCTCTAAGAGTTTGGATGATTGAATGGTGCCTTTCATGCCAGAGGGGTGACTGCTTTTGCAAAGGCATCAGATTGGGGTACTTTTCACCAGAGAAATCCTTCCTCCAGTGAATCAAGAGAGAAAAGAGAATCCGAACGAAAATGAATACATTAAATTTTAAAGACAAAAAGGTAAAGCATGGCAAAAAGTTTTTGCCATGGTTTTCCCATACCTAGATTTACTTTGTTGACTGAAGTAGTGTTGTGGGTGTAAGTGATTTTTTGAAGAGCAAATTAAAAAGACTTTTTATATGTCCCAATAGACAACAACATGGGTTAGCTAATGGCATTGTCATCTCTAAGATAATTACTTTTGTAATAATCTGTTTATTAATAAAGTGATCTGCAAAATAGATAATGGTTTCTTAGGATTTCAGGCACACAGATCCTTCCTTCTGCACATTTTGCTTTGTCTTGCAAAAGTATATCATGAAGCAACTCAAAATTTGCTGACAGATTTTCTTAAGTACAACAGTTTCAGAAATGCATGCTCAAGTAGGTTAAATATGCCCACATTCATTGGATTGTGCCCTTAAATTATTCTGTCTGGTAATGGAAATGTTTTAAAGCTGGTTGTGATGGCTGCACACCTCTGTAAATTTACTAAAATTCATCGAGTTGCACACATAAAACAGATGAATTTTATGATATGTAATAATTCAATAAAGGTGTCTTTTTAAAAAAGGAAATCAATTGAACATTTAAAAAAATTATTTCCTCTGTTTCCCCATCTTGTTACGGCAATACTGAGTGTTGAGAAAGAAACATTTCAGGGAAAGATAGCAACTACACAAATGCTAATTAGATGCAAATATGGAGAAAGAAGATTCAAGAGTCCTAGTGGCCCACAAGTTGAACAATGAACACAAGTCAGCAGCAGAACGTTATCCTTTCTGCTGTTTTGTGTTTTTTTTAGAACATGTTCCCTTTCAGGACATGTTCTAAACACAGTATCTTTTATGCCTTAACACCAGAGATTTGGCATAAAAATGGAGCCTGGGTACTCCCAAAGTCAGTACATAGTTTAATACTTATTCTCACTTATTACTTGTTACTCTTGCTACTTCTTTTATCTTAATTAAATACCACCCTGTTCAGTTCTTATGTTGTCTGTGTAAAGGTTAGTATCCACAGGCATGTGGACTTGAGGACAGGAATCATATTGTATTCTTCCTTGTACCCGGAGTCAGTGAGAGCACCTGGCCAGAAAAGGCCCCATTTCTCTCCTTCCTGGTCCAATGCCTGGCAAAAAGAAGATGTTCAAAAATGTTCATTTCCTTCCTTTCTAGAATTTAGGTGCTCCATCAACACCAAACCTATAATATAGACTTGATAAAAGAGGCCATGGCACTTCCGTGTGGCCCATAGAGGAAGCATCAGCTCAGGAGGGTCAGCGTGGTCCCTGCAGTTGAATAGGATCTGAATCCAGTGGACAGGAGGCCCTTTCACTTCTCTCCAGCCATCCAGCCATTCCTTGCATCACAGTCAGTTCACAGCCCCCAACCCCAGGCAAGCCCTTCCTGCGCCCTGTGGACTCTTTCGTCCACCTGCTAGATTCTGGCAGACTCTTCCTGGTGTCACAGTGACCCCTCCACCTGTGCCTGAGGCTCTGTCCAACAGGCTTTGCGCAGCCCACATCCAGCTCAGCTTGGACGCAGGGCCCAGCCCAGTCCAGCCCAGCACAGAGAGAATTGTGCCTCAGCTGGAGGGTGGATGGTGCTCTGTGGTTCCAAATGGCCAAGGCTGGGAACACTGGAAGGACAACCACAGAAGAGATGTGACACACTCACTGTCCCAGCCACTTGCTCACTGCCCACCTCAGTAGGACCTCCTAAGCTCCAGGAGAAGTGGGGGCTTCAAACGGATCTGTGCTTTTTTATGTCTGCCCAGGGCCTAAATGCCATCATCCCAGAGCCTGGCATCACTGTTCCTGCTGCCTGGCAGAATCAGTAGGTTTTTAACCTGCATTTCTGGAATCTTTTTACATTATCCCTGACAACTCTGTTACTTTGGGTTAAAAACAAACTTTAGCAGCTGTGTAACCTTTAGTCTACAAAGATTGTCAGATCCAAATCCAGAAAATAACACTGCTTCAAACTCCTGTAGCTGAGAAGGCCCAAGGTGACAAAATCCAGGAGGGGAGAAAGCTGTTAGCTGAGGATGCTAAGGAGAGAACAGGGGGAGGCCAGCTACATTTCATATTAGCCAGAAATGTCTGACTTATGTTACATTTTGGAAAACACAGGCTGCAATAATGTCACCATTAAATTAACACCATTAAAGAAAAGCGATTATTAGTGCTTAGAGTTATAGACTCTAATAATAATAATAACACACACAGTATAGCATCCGAGTGGTTAAGGGTCTGGCTTTGAGAGTTACATCCAGATTCGAATCCCAGTCTCACCATTTTATGGCAATGCTGTGTGTTTACCTAACTTCTGTGTGTCTCTGTTTCTCTATTTGTGAAGTGGAAATGATGCCCAACTCTTCAAGGTAATGAGGGATTAAATGAATGGAAGTGAAACTCAAAGGACTTGCAGTAGACAGAATACCAGCCCCTCAAACATGTTGTCTTCCTAATTCCCCAAAGCTGTGTATATGTTACCTTATATGGCAAAAGGAACTTTACAGATTTGATTAAATGAAGAGAGGGACCTAGATTATCTGGGTGGACCTAGCATAATCAGAAGGGTCCTTCTGAAAGGGAGGCAGGCAGTTCAGAGTCAGAGATAGCAATGCCATGGCAGAAGAGAGGTCAGAGAAAGAGTTAAAGACACTTTGCTGCTGGCCTTGAAGACCAAGGAAGGAGCCAAGAGCCAAGGAGTGCAGGCAGCTCCTGGCAGCTGGAAAAGGCAAGGAAAGCCTCCTAGAGCCTCCTGAAGGAACACAGCCCTGCAGATGCCTCGATCTTGGCCTCTGGTTTCCAAAACTGTAAGATAATCCATGTATGTCGCTTTAAGCCACGATTTTGGGGTAATTTGTTACAGGAGCAAAAGAAAACTACATGGGGCTTTGAGCCTACTTCAGCACAGCGCCCAGCACATTCTACGATGTCTCCAAGGGCAGCCAGAGCTAGTAGCTACTAATAGTGACATTAGCGATTCCTTTGTGACCAAACACCCATCAGAGGCCTTCAGCTCTTCCAGGGGACTTTCTCCTCTCCACTCGGTCATCTCCACTGACAGGCGCTCCCACCCCAAGAAGCTCCTCTGTTTTAGGCAGCTGCGAGATGGGTACAGAACGGTCACTCTGGGGTAGACCTGAAATTTGCCTGCTAGGGCTTTCCCGAAACCAGGGCCCCTCTGCTAATGACATGCCTTCGGATAACTGCATGCAGGTCTCAGAGGCCTAACCCCAGAGGCTTCATACCTAAACTCTGAGTTTTCTCACCTTCAGACTGACCTCTTGCAGTTCCTTAAACGTTTCTCACATGACAGGATTCAGAGCTCCCTCCCTGAGACACATCGCTCGTCTTCCTCTCCACACTCTCAGGCATCTCACAAAAGGGAACTCACCACCAAATGCCACATTCCAGGTGTAAAGAGCACCTCTTTCATGCTTCCCTCAATTTAACCCAAGACCACATTGGGCTTAGAGCAGCTGAACAACGTGCCGCATTACTGTCAGCTGAGATTCTTGTTTTTTACTCTCTGCCAGACGCTTTTGCCTCTTGGCCCTGCACTCACACAGGGACTGTTTGGACTGGAGCATCTGACCCTACCGTTTCTCTGTTTCATCTTATATCATTACATTTAGCTTAGCACTGTAGTCTTTGGGCCCTGGTGTGTCAACAAAAGTATTCTCTGCATGTCACCTCAAAATGTGTTAGGTATTAACTAAGTCATCTATGTCCACACACTAATAAAAATATCAAATGCGACACGCGACGACGACTGTGCCTTCAACTAGAAATTTACTTCCGCAAAGACATTGACTAGCATCTTTGGGAATGGCCACAAAAACAGTTCTAAATCCACCTAATAGGCATGCTGGTCTGCAGCTGAAATTACTTCATCTCATGCACGAATTTATCATGAGATTCCTTGGCAGATACCAAGCCGAGGTGTGCTTTGTCTCTACCATAGCTAACACAATTCCCTGACATAATAATCTAGCAAGCCTACCACGAAACTGGGAATACAGTTACCTTGTCGTGGCTTGCTCTTAAAGAACCCACACAGGCTTCTAGAGGATTCTGCTCCATTTTTCACGTACTCACAGCTCAGCCTTAAGTAGTCTGATCAGGGAATTTAATGAGGATGGATAGGATAGCCCCACTTTTGTAGTTTGCAGAAGCTTTCCCCCTCTTTACTAATCAGAGCTATATTTTGCCATTTCTAGCGTTCCAATTTCTTTCACAGTCTCCATGTTCTGTAAAGATTATCAGCAGAGGCTTTACAGCTTCAGAGGCGAGTTCTCTCTACTCCCTGGAGTGTAATTTGTCCTGGCCAGGAGACTTGAGCTCATTTACGGCAGCTTGGTGCTGTTAGAATCTTTTCACTCATCTAGAGCTTCAATTTTCTCTTACCAAAGTTTTCTTTTTCTTTTGAGTCAGTAGATTGTTCTCCTTGGCAGACAAGAAGGGGGCAGAGTTCTGCTCCCTTGCTGTCATTCTAAAATGCAAATAGCGTGGTGTTCCTTGGTCAGCGTTAAATCCTTGGGTGGCTGGCTCCCCTTGGCTTTCAGCAGTGATTCTCAAACTCCCCTGGAGTACTTGTTAAAAAAGCAGATTCTCCAAATCTCCTCTCAGAGGCTGTCAATTGCCATGTTAGCCAGGGTAAAACTAGCTGTTAAAACAAATCCAAAGATGTACGGAGTCTCAAACATGATAGAACTTCTCATTCTCCTAAAGCCCAATAATGAGTGTTCCGAATTAGTGGGTGGTCATCTCCAAATAGTAATTCAGGGATTCAGGGTTTCCTCAATTTTTGTTGCTCTGCCACCTTCAACATGGGGCTTCCAAGATCCCTGCGCAAAAACATAAAGAGAAGGAAAAGTGTATGGAGAAGGTGCAGGGCAATTTTAATGGCTCAGGTCTGGAAATGGCAAGCATTAGCTGCATTCACATTCTATTGGCTAGATCTCAGTCACATGAGTGCACCTACCTGCAAAGGAGACTAGAAAATTGTCTAACTGCCAGGATGCTGGGAGATGTAGTCTCACTCCAAAGGACGCTGGGAAATGTAGTCAAGCTCAGGAAGAAAAGAGAGTTATGCTGAGCAGTCTGCCCATATGGACATAAGATAAGGCTTAAGAAACTGCATTTTCATGAACCTCCCAGGAGATTCTGATGTAAGACCCCATTTTGACCAACACTGCCGTGTCCACTCCCAGTACAGGCACCCAAGGCCTTGCGAAGTGGGTTCCACAGTTCTCCCCAGCCCTGTCTGCACCTCCACCTTGCTCTAATCATATAAAACACTAGCAGCTCCCCAGCCTGCCAGGCTACTTCACGCCTCTGTGCTGGGTGTCTCCTTTTTCTCTGCCCTTTCTCCCTTGGTTCACTTGGCGAATTCCTGCTGATCCTTTGAGACTCAGTTCAAGTGTAATCTCTTCGACCAGGTCATCCCTGACCCACCTGCCCCAGGTAGCACTGCAGAGCCTTTCCTCGTGTCCCTGACCTTCCTGGCCAGAATCTCATTATGGTATTGATTATGCTGAATGGCATTTTGCATTTGCGTTCCCATTTGATTGGGAGACCTTTGAGGGCAGTGACCTTTCCTTTGTGTACTCTGCACTTCACACCTTGCCTGGTACATCGTGGTTGTCAGGCAGTCAGGAAGAGCTGGCGCCACAGAAACTGACCACAATCACAGAGCAGTTCCTTTCTTGATTTTCTGCCCATGTCAAAAAAAAAAAAAGCTTTTTTTGGTTGTTGTTATCCTTACAATTTCACTGCCTTAATTTATTAGACCTAATTAGCAAACTAGGCTTGTGTGACTCTGCTACACCTATCGCTCCTTGTTTTCCCTTTTGCCAGCTCTACTCAAAGTTGAGCTTCTCCAGGAGCTGCCCTGGTCTCATCAGCAACCTGTTCCCACCTTACTATTTCTCTTCAAGTGCACTGGCAATTTACACATTTGGAATTCTACCAGGAGTTCTCCCACCTTCTTGAGCCATCTCTCTTCTTTTTGGAGTCTCATGTCCTCTGATTTCTTGGGGACTGTCAGAAGCCTGAATTACTGAAATCTGGGAAATACGTCCTGTCATCCTTCCATTGTCTAGAAATCATGGAATCTAAGATGATTGTTGAGGTAGCCAGCCTCCAAGATGGCATCCAATGATCCCTACCTCCTGGTGTTCACAGTCTGTGTCCTTTCTCACAGTAAACCAGGGTCAATTGTGTGGTCAGTCCACGATTGGGCTCACTCTCTTACTCTCTCATACGCTCACTCTCCTTCATCACTTGCTGCTCAGGCAGAAACCAGGTAGCCCTGTAAAGAGAGCCACATGGCAAAGAACTGAGGCCTCTAGCCAACAGTCATGCGAGTAAACTTGGCATTGAATCCATGAGCCCCAGTAGAGACTCGAGATGACTGTAGCCTCAGCTGACGTCTGACTGCAACTTTGTGAGAAACACGGAGCCGGGACCACCCAGCCACACTGCTCTTCGATTCCTGACCGTCAGATAGTGTGTGAGGTAATAAATCTTGTTTGTTTTAAGCTGCTAAGTTTTGGGTAAATTTGATAGGCAGCAATAAATGACTAATACAGTTGGGCTTCTTTCATTCATTCTCATCTTATCTTTCAGTCTCCTTTAGGTCAGACTTCAGCAGCATGTAAGATGCAGCCATCATCTAGGAATGCCCGGAGCTTCCCAGAGCAAGGCACTGTTCAACTTCCACTCTGGTTTTGAGACAGATGAAGCTTTAACCTTCATCTAGCCGGACTCCCTCCTACTACGTGTCTGCATGAAAATTATTGCATATTTAAATATGTACATATTTACATATAAAAATATGTAATATTGTTAAATATTACTAAATATTTAAAATAAAAAGAAACAAGAAAAATAGAGTTTTAAGCAGTGTCTGTTGCATAGTAAGTGCTGAACTACTATCTGCTTTTGCTGACATTGTCATCATTCGTACATCATTATTTCATGTACTGTCGCCCCAATTCACCGTTCCATTGCTTTTGAACAACACATATACATCAACTGCCACACGTCAATTTTAATTCCCAGTAAAACTGGCCTTGAGTATAATGATAAGTCACAGCTGTACCCTTTTAAAATCTCAAATTCAGTTTAATTGAATTTACCTGTAGACTGCCAGGCACAGTGTCTCAGACCTGTAATCCCAGAACTTTGGGAGGCCGAGGCAGGTGGATCACTTAAGACCAGGAGTTCGAGACTAGCCTGGCCAACATAGAGAAACCCTGTCTGTACTAAAAATTAGCTGGGTGTGGTGGCACACTCCTATAATCCCAGCTACTCGGAAGGATGAGTCACAAGAATTGCTTGTACCCAGAAGCAGAGTTTGCAGTGAGCCAAGATCGTACCACTGCACTCCAGGCTGGGCACAGAGTGAGACTGTGTCTCAAAAAAAAAAAAAAAAAAAAAGATTTTACCTGTAGACTGGTATAGAAATATCTTAGATTTCAAATCTTGTTCTGACTCTTTCCTAAAGCTGCCTATTCTCCTATTTAAATTCTGAGTGTATCTAGTGAAATTTTACATTAGCCAGAACTCTCTAATTTTGAAGTTGTCCTGAAGCCATATCGACATTATTGAGGGTTTAGACTTTAACTAAAAAATACTCATTGCATTCTAGGAAAATTCACAGCCACCTAAAGGAGATGTGTCTGATTCGCAATCATTTTCCTGAATCTGCAATAAATGAATCTACAAAGGATTGAAATTTTTTTAACGAAAATTGTCTGGTAAATATTTTTAAGGGTTTGAGAGCAGTGAAAAATGTTAACAGGCCTACAGCGTTATACTTTTCCACAGTTAGCATTTGTTTCCAAAAGTCTAGAGGAGAAACCTTTTATCTCAACAATACTACATTCTTCCATTTGTAATAGTCTCTGATTTTTAAGTAGTTACTATTCAAACCATTTTATAACCTGATAGAAATGTTCCTTCCTTTCTACAGTCAGGTAACCCGGCATATTTGCACTATTTTCCTTAGAGCCTAATTGTGGCAAACCATTCATCATGAGTGCCTGAGGCCTCTACCTCATCACCTATCCTGTTTCATTCCTAAAAGCCTTCTTTTGCCCCGTGTTTTAACCTGTGAGTTAACCTGTGAGTTGCTCAAGGCCTCTTGGAAGTAGCTGGGTGATACATCTTAAATAAATGAAAATAAATTAGTGTGTTTCTGACCAGTTGGATGTGAACTGAATTTCCAGTAAATCAGCCACAGATTAAGTATCTAAGGGAATAGGTTCACTCAAGGGAAGCCCATGAATCCTTTTGTGATGCAAACTAGAAAATCCTTCTGCTTTACAATTTTGAATTTTCATATATCATATTTTCTTACAGTAAGGTGCACCTGGACCAGATGGTGGCTTGTATCACAGACTTTAGGCTATTTTTAAGACCCTCGGTAAATATTCAGCAGGTACCCTGGTGAAATCATCCCTTCCTTGTCACCCTCTGTTCCCTGGGCATGAAGCCTCAGCAATGCTGTTAACATTCATGTTTCCACTGGGTGTGGTCTCATAAATGTTTCCTCCTGGACCCCTCAGCACAGAAAGTGTGTGCAGCTTCACAGATTCTGGTAGGGGTGAACATGAAGAGGAGATACAGATTTACATAGTCCAGAGGACCCAAAATAGCTGAAACCACTAGATACTTCACACTGCAAACCGAGGTTAATCTCAGACTCTGAGGCTGCATGAAACTTGACCCCCAACACTTCCATCTCCAGGGAGAATAGAGAATGTGTGTCTTGGAAGACAGGCTGTCATTTGCTTGTGACCGTGACAGGCTACTTCAGCTGTGGGGCGGGGGGGGGGGGGGGGGGGGGTACGGTGATTACCAGTAACACCTGAGACAGAGCCCTGGACCCAGGCGTGTTCAATAAATAGCTGATGAAAATGAGATTCACTGCCAAGTCACCACGAGGTCATCCTGTCTCCTCCTGCTGTGCTCCCCCTGTAGCCCATGTGGACTGGGTCCCCTCTCAGGCTGCCTGGGTCCCAGCAGAGGGCAGAGGACAGTGGAGGGTCCCTGTCCTGGGGACGGTCAAGGCAGAGCAGTCACCACCTGTGCTGGGTGAGTGGTCACTGGCCTTCCTCTGGCCCAACTGGGGGCTCCAAAATGACCATAATTACAAACCTGATACTGGCCCTACGTCCTACCAAAAACCCAGAGGGAGATGGAAACAGTGGCACTGATGGATTCTAGAGTTGAACAGGAGGTAGGTGGGACCTTTACCTCTTTTTTCTTAAAAACAGCTTAAAAATACATTTATGCCAAGAGCTATCAGGGCTCAATCCTCTCTCAAAAGTCTCCTGAATTTTGGCCGGGCATGGTGGCTCAGGCCTGTAATTCCAGCACTTTGGGAGGCAGAGGCAGGCAGAACACTTGAGGTCAGGAGTTCAAGACCAGCCTGGCCAACATGGTGAAACCTCATCTCTACTAAAAATAAAAATAAAAATTCGCCAGCGTGGTGGCACACACCTGTAGTCTCAGCTACATCGGAGGCTGAGGCAGGAGAAATCTCTTGAACTGGAAGGTAGAGGTTGTAGTGAGCCAAGATCATGCCATTGCACTCCAGCCTGGGTGATAGAGTGAGACTCTGTCTCAAAAAAAAAAAGTCTCCTGAATTTTATCATTAGTGAACATGCTTCAGTGAGTGAAAAAACACTCTAAAATTCAAACTAAATTTTCCTTGCAATCTATCCTAACAATCGTCTGGGTCTTATTTTTAATAATCTGTCATAGAGAAACACCGGCCCCTTCTTTAACATTGAAAAAGGAAAGTGACATTTTGATCACTGTCAACAATTTAACAACCAATAACTATATACTGAGCAACTCTTCAGTCCATTCCTCCGGACACCATGGATGAAGAATCCCATTACCAATGGAGAGAGCGGAAGCTGCTCTCTTAAACGCCCAAGCAGTGTCTCATGTCAGTTTGGGAATCAGAGCCACCCAGGAAAATTGTTAGTGGCTCTGTCTAATTAGCACTCCTGCCACCTGCAAACAAGTGGTACTAAAAAAAGGTGCTGAATTCTTGCCATTGAGAATGCCAAAAAAAGACACCACTGGTTTCATTCTGACTCTTAGAATCTAATATTTCACTGATTTGGCGGGCTGGGGGTGGTGGGAGGAGGGGGGAAGGAAATACACTTTCACTTTCACCCAAAGGAAATGACTTAACAACAAGTCGTGTTTTAGAAACGATCATATGGTAATGAGTCCTCCAATCCAGCAATCCTCCCTCCCCTGACCTCCTGGCCCCTGCCTTCCCCTCTGCCTGGTCTAGGCTCCCTCTGCCTCCCACAGAAACTGCCTTGTCAGGTCCAGTCTTAGACCTTCCTCCTCCAGGAAGGCATCCTGACCAGCCTAGCTCTTAGGGAATCGTCCCCTTAACCCCACAACACTTGAGAGTCTCTTCCCCACAGGTGAGCACGAAGTTATATTTCTTGATAACAACTGCTGTTATCTTAACCCTTGTCAAGAACAAGAGCCAAGTATTGTATTAGGAAACCTCGATCACTTTTTGGAAAATAGGCAGGGTAAAAATGATTGGCGTATAAGCCGCCTTATACCTTCCCTGTCTTCCTGAGAGTCGCCAGCACAGAGTTGAGCAACAAAGCAGGTTCTCAGTAAATGGTTGATTGCATGATTGGCAAATGCCTTTGTGACACATCACAGAGCACGGTGGCCATGGTGAAAATTTGGCAGCTGTGACTCCTTACTTCCTGCTTTAATCAACGTCATGGGATTGAAATGCTGGACACACAGTAGGTGCTAAATAGATTTTTATGGATTGATTAACCACTGGAGGGACTGTGCCTTATGTGGGATTTATTAATGCTTTTGATGCCAAATAGGGGTGGTTTTAATAGAGTATAATGTGTTTAAAAAAAAAAAAAAAGAAAAACCAGCAAACACAAAACCCCAACCAGGACAGAGGCTGGCAGCTGCTCTGTTTACACCCACCGTGCTCCTGGAAACAGATGTCCTGTCAAACCCGAAGGTTTCTGATGAGGCTTCCACTCTTCCGAGTGACCTGAGTGTTCAGTAATCAAAGGGACCTGTGCCCTTCTACATTAGTGCTCTCTGTTCTATGACTGATCTCCAGTTATGTGTCTGGGGTAAAGACTTTTGCTGATGAAGGCAAAAATCAGCATCTACTGTATCTACTCCAAGGGAAAAGCACTGGGCTAATGACAAAAGAAACTGCATTTGTGTGTTTGGTGGGGTAAAAAGAACAGAGGCTTTGGGACAATCAGGCTGAAATTCCAGCACTGTCACTTACTGTGTGATTGCAGGTTCTCATCTACCCTCTCTGGAACTCAGTTTTGGGGGCTGATAACACCAATTCCACAGGTTGCTGTGAGGATTAACAAGATATCATGGGTAGAGTTCTTGGTACAGTGCCTGACATATAGTAGCCACTGGGTAAAGGTCCTTTTGTTGTGGCTATTATCATAAACACAGACAAGGACAGAAGTCCACCTTGGCCACTGTGGGTTTATGTGGCACCCCAGGTGTTCCTGATGTGACTTCCTCTGGTTCCTCCTTGGGTGATGGTGGCCTTTCCAGTACAAGTCCTTGTCTGATTGACTGCACAGATAATGGTCTATGATCTGAGCGGGGAATGGATGTCCTGGAGTGTTCCAGTCCACTTCCCTATGCACTATGAGTCCGCTCCTTCACTACCCATCTGCTTGGAGTGTACACATTAGTCCTGATCCCAGTGCCCAGATTGGGGCTCAGGACAGGGAGGGTTGGCTTTTGGAGAACACACCACCAAGTCAATCCTGTGTTTCATGGAGAAATCTTTGACCATGGTGTAAGAGGTTTCTGGGCACAACACACGAGTCCCATGAACCACACAGAGAGATCCATGCCAGTCATGGGGCCCATCCCATGGGCCACAGAGTAGAGCAAAGAATGACCCAAAAAAGATCCCAGACACCAGCAAGATCTACGTAGAGAGAGAGAGAGAGGAGACCCCTGACACAATGCAAATCCAGTTTATGTTGCCAAGACACTAGATGCGCTGGGACAGATCATGTGAACAACAGCACTCTGAAATGGAACTCATATGCAGACCAGCGCAGACCCTTCATAAATGGCTGTGTCCACACTAAACAGCTCCCAGCAGGGCAGAGCATCAATGACGAGGAAGCCTTGGATAAAACGAGGATGGGTGAGGACAGGGTAGACAAGCCCACTGGGAGTCTAATTCACACAGCTTTTCTCATTCTCCCTGACAAGCTGGCTCCCCTGGTGAGCTGTTACCAAACTTCAGCCCTGAAGAGTTTGCGGTGCCCCAGAACCAGCGCCCTTCGCACCACCATGGCCCGAGTAGGTCCTCCTCTGGATAAGACCTCAGCACAGCTCTCTTTTCTGATGCTGCCAGCAGGGAAATTGGGAGCATCCTTTCTCCTTCATCTGGAGAGGTAGCTGAATAAGGATTCTTGGAGTTCCTATTTTCTTCTTTCAACTGAGGATCATTCAAAATCATCTGTAAGACACTGTGAGTGCCTCACATTGCCAGATCTTAACCTATCCCAGACCCTGCAAACCTTGGCCACATTTCTGTAGTGCCTACAGCTGTCACATAGGGCGCTACTCCAGAATACGGCTGGGTGGACTTCTGCATGTTCACAGTCAGTGCATCCATGGAGATTATCTCAGAGGACAGCTTCCTACAGCGTGGATGAACAGACACACGCCTGTGGCTTTGTTCTCCTTCTTTTTGCATTGGGTTGACCTGTGTATCAATTTGAAATCCCAAGAAATCCCTCTTTTTTCCATTTTGCTATCTAGTACTCTTCTATCACTTTTCATATACCATTTGAAGGACATAGTACTCAAACCAAAGCTATCGATCACCTTCAGGTGTTGTCTGAGGACCCTTGGGGAGCTTTTCTCCCCCTCCCCCCCACTCCTGCTCCCCTTTTCGGCACCTCTGTCACCCTCTCTTAAGGTCACGCCAGTTTTCCTGGCTGTCGTCCTCATGAAGGGTGGCTTCCTCCCTGAAGTGCTCCGCTCTGTCCCCTCCCTTGAGTCCCGGGCTTCACACACACAAACTCTGTTGGATGTTTTTTCCAGGAAATGCAGTTATTCTGACACTAGTGGGCCATTTCCCCGGCGTCCTCATTCCATTTCTGACAGTGCTCCTGCTACCCTCAGTAGATTATTATTATTTATTATTTATCAGCCACGACACTGTACTCTGCTTCCTACAAAATATTAAAGAAGACACAATCCGTGCGCTGAGTTTACAGCCAAGGAGAGCAGAGGCCTGGATCAGACATCACAGGGGGGGAGCTGAGAAGAAAATATTTACCGGCTCAGTCCTCCTTGGCCCTGGTAGATGGAGGCAAGGACTGGCAAAGCCCTCCCCAGGCCAGCTCCTCCCAGCTGGGCCCCCACAGCCAGCTCCCCACACTACCTACAGCACCCCAACTCCAATTTCTAGCAAGGCCTCAGGCCTCAGGCCTTTACCCGGGGGAGCGGAGGGAGGGTGGAGGATGAGGATTGGGCCCTCAGGCCTTTACATTCAGACAGGGGTGGAGGAGGAGGGCAGGTACAGATATTTCCTCTGAAACTCAAAACCAGGTAAAGGGGATGTAGGGGAGGAGGGAGAGGTCGGGGAATAAAAACCAGATTAGGAGAGCGGTCGGGGTGGAGAAGACTGTGCCCAGAGTGAAATATTCTAGCATAATGGAAAAGCCCTCATTGGGGGTCCCACACGCCTCTGGCCAAATCTCTTCTATTAGGGTTAGAAGTTAGGGTCTGTGTAGACAGCATGTGTAGACCGAGAGGTGGTGGGACTGAGAAGTCAGTGTAGACAGTGTGAGAGAGAGCGAGCTGTGGTGGGGGTGAGTAGTCGGTATAGACATCAAAGGCTGGTCAGGCTGTTAAACAGAGAAGGCTTCCTGGATTCCTAAGGGTCAGTATGAACAGAAAAGTCGCGCGCCCCAGGAGAGGCAGGGCTGACTCAGAAGGCTGGTGGACACTTTGCAGGGCTCTCCCTGGTCCTTCAGAGGTGTGGACAATTCCTGCTCCTTTCCAAGGCTGGAGTGTCATAAAGAGGGCGGAAGCTGAAAGACGATTGGACTTTTTCCTTCTCAAACTTTTCCGCCAGTTTCCTCAGGTGTTGAGAGCAGACGGGGAGCTCGCCTCAGTCCCGGGCCCCCAACCCTGGGCCAGCAAGGCCAGGAGGCCACGGCGGAGCAGCCCGTGCCACGCGCCGTGCGTCTGCCGGGCGCGGCCGCGGAGCCAGGCGAGCCGGGGGCCACCGCGGGGGGCGGGGGCGGCGGACGGACGGACCGACGGACACACCCGCGAGCACTCCAACCTCGGACCCGGCGCGCGGCAGCCGGGAATCCCTCGGGCCGGGGAAACTGCGCACGGGGCCCGGCCTGGCCGGGCCGGGCCAGAGGGCCCCGCCTCCCCCACCCGCCACCCCCGCCCACTCGGGCGCCCGTGATTGGCTCCGCCCGCCCCTGGCTGCGCGCCGAAGCCCGCCTCCCTCGCAGCTAAAGCAGACGGTACCCGGAGCGGAGCGAGCCAGAAGGGAGCATGGTCCCCGCGCCGCGGCCGCGCCAGCCCCCGCGCCGCCGCCGCCGTCCCCGCCACCGCGGATCTCGCCGCAGCTCCAGCCCCGGCCCCGGCTCCGCAGCGCCCGTCCGCAGCCCCGGCGGTCGCCGCGCTTGAGCGCAGCCCCCGCCCGGAGCCCGAGCCGCGAGCCCGGAGCCAGCCCCAGCCCCGCGGCCGCCGCGGCTGCGGGGAGAGGGCGGGGGCGATGCTGCCGGAGCCGCCGCCGCCGCCGCCGCCTCGATGAGAGCCGCGCCGCACCGCTCATAGCCGCACAGGCTGACAGGCAGGAGGACCGACTTCCCTCTCCCGGGCATCCTCCCTGGGCTGCCGGGAGGCGGCGGCGGCGGAGGAGGAGGAGGAACGAGGGGAGAAGGCGGAGAGCAGGAACGCGAGGAGGAGGACCTGGATCCGTTTCCTCCGGCCAGGACCCGAGCGGCCCCAGCCACCGCTACCCGCCGGCGCTGTCCGCTCTCCATCAGCCCTCCTGCGCCCACCCGCGACCCCGGGCTCTCTGCGCGTCGGGCCGGGGCCGGAGCCGCGCGCCGGAGGTAAGAGCCGGGCCGGGCTGGAGCGCCTCGGATGCGGCGCCGGAGGGAGACCCAGGTCCTGGCCGCCGCGTGGGGCCGGGCCGGGCCGGGCGTGGGAGCGGGGCCGGAACCCGGAACCCTGGGCTCGGCTTCGGCGGCGGCGGCGGCGACAGGAGCCTCCCGCGTCTGGACTCGCAGGCTGCAGGAGCCCTTGCGCCTGCGCTGCTCCAGGGGGAAAAAAAGGGGGGGAAAAAACTTCCTGCCCCCGGGTGTGTATGCACCGGGGCTGCCTGGGGCCACTGTCACGGTGTTCGGAGGTGCTGGAGGCTTGTGTGACCCCTGGCCGGAGCAGCCCCCCTGCTGGGCCCGGCGGCGCGCGCCCCTCTCCAGGCCACGTTCCCCTGAGCGGCCCAGGGCCCCGGCCGGGCAGGAGACCTGGAGGCGACGGAGGGCTGGCCCCCAGGGGCGGCCGCGCGCACTGTCCTTTGGGGAGGTGCGCGCCTCTGTGCAGCGAGAAGCCAGGTTGGGGTTTTCTGCCCCTCGCGTCCTCTGATCTCGCATTTGGGGACTGGGTCTCTTTACTCAATCCCAAGTAACTTTCGAGGTAGATGAGCTCGAAAACCGTCGGGAGGGAACCCGCACAGACCTTATTGTGACCCACCCCACCCCGACACACACACGCACACTTCCCTTGACACCTTGTGGGTGCCAGCGTGTTGTGGGGGGACGCGGAAAGGAGAGCTCACGGGGACGGCGAAGCGGCCAGGAGGTGGTGTCGTTGGGGAGGGGTTGTTGATGTGTGGGACAGGGTGGACCTGGAGATGTGTAGTGTGGGAGTGTGAACGCGCGCCCCGATGGCCTCGGGGGGCCGGGGGAGCCCAGGGCTCGCGTCCCGGTCTCCGTGGCCTGGAGCGGGCTGAGAGCGCTAGGGTTATCTGCGGTCGCCGCGCGGGTGCCCGCGCTGGGCAGCGTCGGCCCCGGGCCCCAAGGGAGGGACGTGCTCGCCTGGGGCCGGAGCGCGGGGCTGGGAGCCGGGGTAGGTCGGAGGTGGCTCTTAGGGCAGGTCGCCTCTGCGTTGCCTGGGGAAGGCGGGGACGCGCTGCCTGCCTGCGGCCAGCCGTCTCGGAGGAGGGGGTGGCGGCCACGCGCGAGTCTCGGATGCCTGGGTCCACCCGCTGAGAAGCCAGTTGTCGTCCCTGGGCTGTGGAACCAAGCGGCAGACGCGGTCCGTTGGCGGGCCCTCGCGCGGGCCCCCAGAGATGCTGATGGGTAAGGAGCTGCCGCCGCCGCCGCTGCCATCCCCGCCGCTCTGCAAACGTTCTCCTCCCTCCCTCCCGTGCTTGCGCCGCGGCGCGCCCCGGGCGAATCGTGGACGCAGGTATTTATGTAGCATTAGGCGAGACCTCGGCGCTGGAGGGACCAGACCGTGGAGGACGCCGAGCTGCTGCTGCCTGCGAAACTTCCACTTCGGCAGCTCAGCGGCATCCCGGCCCGCTGCTGCAGGTTCCAGCCTCTCTCCAGTCCAGCAACGCTGGGATTCGGACTCCTCTTGCAATGACAGATCTGTCCTGGTTACGGCTGTATTTATACTAGTTTCAGTCTCTTTAAAGTCATCTGTCTAGTCACTACAGAGTTTCTTCCTCGCCGTGTGGTCTTATCACTAACTCAGCCCTGGGAGGGCAGATTTGAGGAATTGCTTCATTTTCAGATGAATGACAGCAGACTTGTCCCACCTCATTCCTGATTTATTATTATTATTATTATTATTATTATTATTATTATTATTATGGAAAGAAGGTATAGAGCTTTTTAATTTTTTTGTGAGGGAGGAGAATGAACAATTTTATAGATTGTTCTTTCCGACACTTAGAGAAAACATGTCCAGTAAGCACTAGTGAATACTTTAAAGGCTGGTTGGCATGCGTGTATTTGATTAGTCCATAATCTAGGTGTTTATACAGGTATGGAGCTGTGTGCTACTGATGAATAGTCTCCGTCCCATACATTGTGCTGGAGTGCACTTGATTTATCACCCTGCTATAAATCAGGGAATTACTAGCACATGTGCCTTTTAAACTCTATATGAATTTAATGGCATTTAAATTGGTTTATGGGCTGATGCATCTAACCAATTTTAATAACTTTTCTGCACAAACATCTTATAAACCATATTTGCCTGTGATTAAGAAAAACATTTTCTTCTCCTCGGTCTCTCGGTTATGGAAATTTATAGGTCTCCAACTTTCATTTGCAAGCAGCAATCCAAACGAAATACCTAGAGTTTTACTGAAATAAAATATCCTATGGTAGCCATGGTAACAAATAGATTAAGGGTTATTGGTTTTCATCTGAATGTGATGGGGGGTGGGGATCTAGTGTTGTGTCTTTTTAATTATGTTTCTAATGAGTGGTGGTCATACTTCAAGTACTCAGTGTGGGAGACAAGCAAGACTGAGAATTCAGGTTTGTGGGAGGTTTATTGAAACAAAGACTAGTAGAGCCCAGGAGAATGACTTTTGCTAACTGCAGCTCCTCATATCTAGGAACAAAATGGATAAAAACCTTTTTTTTGTTTTTCCAGTAGATGAGCATTGAGTCAGTCACTTTAAGACCGGAAAATGCATTTTGCTTATAAACTATTACCAAAGGAACCTCTAAATCCAGCCTGTTTTCTAGGAATAAACATGTTGGAAGTGTGGCGGTTGGTGTGGATTGAGTGTCACCGTTGTTATCAACACCTGTCAGTTTAAGTGAGGCACATCATTAGTCTATTCAAATCTTGCCTATTTCAGTATTCATGCATTTCCATGGTGATCCATTCATTTTTATTTAGTCAACCTTATAAATCTTTGGCATCAATTTTAGTTGTGCCATCTTTTTCCTTCTTTTATCAATTGATTTGGCTACAAACCATTCCTAGTTTAAAGTATCTCCTTCTTTTTTCCTGCTAGTTTCTAAAAGCCTACACTATTCCCAGCTACATACAGATATAAAGGAGTTAATTTTTTTTCATCAACTCAAATGGCACCCCTAATACTAATGTCATTTTTTGGCATCTCATTTGATATGTATGTGTACATGGGTTTTTTTTTTCTTTCTTTCAGCAGGCTTACTGTAAAGCTTTCTCACTTTTTGGCTGGGAGACATCAATTCAGTCCAGCAGAACTAACTAAAGTTTTTCCTTCCTTCCTCCTTTTTGCTTCCTTCCTTTTTTTCTTTCTTTCTTCTTCTTTTTTTTTTTTTTTTTTTTAAAATCCCAGTACTGTTATGGCTTAGGCATTCTTTGTGTCATCGGTTGTATCTGGCTTGGAGAGACTTCGAGACTATATTAGAGCAGGTCTGTCCTGGGGTCTTTTCTAGTAGTGGTCAAAGCCAGAAGTTTTCAGAACAGCAGAGGATTTTCCAAATACAATATATATTTAGTCACAGCATATAGTGCCCCTAGGATCATAGTAACATTGTAAGTCCACTGAACAGGCAGTTTTACTTAAATGCGAGTGATGATTTTGCTCACCCACTTTCAACTTAGCTTTCTAATGATGCAATCCCATGCTAATCACAACCCTGTATATTTCAGAAATATCAAGGCAAGCATTAGCACGCTACTGACTTATTAGGATCAGGCAAAGTAATTGGAACACTTAAGTTCAAAGTCAGATGAAGAAATGGAATTATAACCAACTTTGTGATTCTGTAATCAGTCAACTAAGTGCCTACTTGGGGATAGGAGGAGGAAGAAACATCATGAATAAGAAATCCAGCCTTTAGTTGTGCTGAATGAGGATAAACCAAGGCAGTTACTGTGTAAGAGGACTGGAGAACAAGAAATGTGTTAGTGGATGGGAGGACTGCTGGAGCCCAGGAAGTTGAGGCTGCAGTGAACAGTGATCACGCCACTGTACTGGGCAACAGAGCAAGACCTAGTCTCAGAAAAAAAAAAGGGGGGGGCGGAATATATGTTTAAACAGATAAATCATATGTTTCCCAGGCCTGTCTTAGCATCTTTCACTGTGCTAGACACATATCCACGCAAATGTTTGGAAGCTGGTAGAATATCTGTAGTTTGTGTAGAAGATAGTCAGTTTTTATTTCTTAAGTAATCTGGGGTCATCGCCTGATGTGCTAAAAAATTAGGTAGCATAATTCCTGGAATGTACTTTTGTCTGAAGTAAATTTTACCATAGAAAATGGTCTTAATTTTGGTTAACAAGGAAAGATGTATCCAAATTCTTTACCTGCACCTTAGATCAAAAATGCTGAGATCAGGACCACCCTGAAAGCAAACTCTGTGGTTCTTCCTACAACCGCCACAGGCTTACTTCTCCCACAGTAAATGCAGCCTGTACTTTCTTCAAGGAAACCACTTGAAAACAGGAAAACTGAAACTGCCAATTAAGATGAGGCAAGTTGATCACTGGAAGTAGCAACAGAGTTCTTTGTGAAATCAATTTTATCGTTTGGGAGCATTTCCACCTTTAGGGTAGAAAGGAGAAGAGTTCTCATTTTCTGTGCGAGAGGGTATCTGCATGAAATTCAAGTAGTTCAGAGACTCTCGACTGTGCAGCTGCAAATGATGACTCACAAGCTGGAACAAGAACGGCGAGCATGGTTGTAACGGCCGGGGATCTAGCGTGCGCAAAGACGACAGCCGCTAGGCCATTTACAGGCTGCCATTGGCCTCACAGGTGTCTATTGTTATGATTTGTAGGTTTTTGACATTTTAAAATCACTGATCATTTTAAGGATATATGTATGTGTATATATATATTTGTAAACAGATAATCACACATATATATACACATACATATATATAGTTATATATACACAAATATATGTTCTGTCACTTTGTTTAAACCATGGTTTAAAAACACATAAAATTTACCATCTTTACTTTTTTTTTTTTTTTTTTTGAGAAGGAGTTTCACTCTGTCACTCAGGCTGGAGTGCAATGACACAATCTTGGCTCGCTGCAACCCCTGCCTCCTGGGTTCATGAGATTCTCCTGCCTCAGCCTCCAGAGTAGCTGGGATTACAGGCGCCTGCCACCACGCCCAGCAAATTTTTTTGCATTTTTAGTAGAGACGGGGTTTCACCATGTTGGCCAGGCTGGTCTCGAACTCCTGACCTCAGGTGATCCACCCGCCTCAGCTTCCCAAAGTGCTGGGATTACAGGCATGAGCCACCTTTACCATTTTTAACTGTGCATTCGTAGCATTCACATTGTTGTGCAAGCAAGCTCCAGAACCCTTCGTCTTGCAGAACTGAAAGTCTATACCCGTTAAACATCATGTCCCCATTCCTACCTCCCTCAGCCCCTGGCATCCGCCATTCTACTTCCTGTTTATACATTCAACTACCTTAGATCCCTCAGGTGAGTGGAATCATGCCACATTCATCCTTTTGTGATGGGCTTGTTAAACTTAGCATAACGTCTTCCAGGTTTATCACATCTTGTGGCATGGGACAGGCTTTCCTTCCTTTTTAAGGTTGAATAATATTGCATTGCATGTATGGGCCACATTTTGTTTGTCCATTCATCTGTTGATGGAGATTTGGGTTGCTTCCATGTTGTAGCTACTGAGAATAACGCTGCTGTGAACAGGAGTATAAGACATCCTGTTTTCAGTGTTTCTGGGTCTATACCCAGAAGTGGAATTGCTGCTATTTTGATGTTTTCTTTGTTTTGAGACGGGGTTTTGATCTTGTTGCCCAGGCTGGAGTGCAATGGTGCAGTCTTGGCTCACTGCCACCTCTGCCTCCCGCGTTCAAGGGTTCAAGCAATTATCCTGCCTCAGCCTCCTGAGTAGCTGGGATTACAGGCACGTGCCACTATACCCGGCTGATTTTGTATTTTTAGTGGAGATGGGGTTTCTCCATGTTGGTCAGGCTGGTCTCGAACTCCCAACCTCAGGTAATTCGCCTGTCTCTGCCTCCCAAAGTTCACTCTGGGATTATAGGCATTAGCCACCGCGCCCAGCCCTATTTTGACTTTTAACACTAACAAATTATGTAAGTTTTCAATTGAAGAGACTTGGTGAGAATGCAGTCACACAGAATACTGTCCAATAAAGAATGCAGTAGATGTTACTGACATTTGTTCTTCCTTTTCTGTGTATGCATTTCCTCCCGAGTGTCTCTGATCTCATGCTTTCCTTGGGGGCTTGTCCTAGTTGCAGTGATACTGCAGAGGGATTAGAAACATGGGCTTCCTGTCCACGTTGAAGTCCCGTCTCCAGTGCTTCCTAGCTGTGTGACCTTGGAAAGATCCTTAATCTCACCCAGCCTCAGTTTTCTTTTATGAAATTGGAAGAAGCAGTAGTGGCTATCTAGGGTGGTTGTGAGGGTGAAAACAGATAACCTCCATAAACCCACATTACAGTGGCCTGGGGAAGTGCTTTGCAAAGGGGGCTTAGGAAAAGTAGCTGTGGAAGAAGAGACAGCAGCAACCCCTAGAGATCTCAGAAACTGTAGATGCCAATCCTGTTCAATTTCAATCATAAATGTTTTAGTCATACACCAGGGCATGTATATATATTATGTTCTGTAAGTCTCACTATCAGTACTTATTCTGAAAAGCATAAGACATTTGCATCACAATTCCAATAGTTAAAAATACCCTTGAGTTGATTTGATGTGTGAACTTTTAATTCCATCTTTAGTATCATAATTTTAGAGTTGATGTGGATTTTTGAGGTCAGCTAATCTACCTATTATTCAATCACCAAACCTTTATTAAGCCCCAATAATATAATAATAATAGCTTCCAGTTATGGCTGCTCACTATATCCGAGTACTTTACATATATTATCTCTAATCCTCATATCAATGCTTCGAGGTAGGGATTATCCACATTTTACAAATGAAGATGAGGCTCAGTGGTAATCAACTGGCCCAAGGCCACAAACCTAGCCACGTTGTTCAGCTGGGTTTGAACACAGATCCCTCAGCTACCAGTCTGTCTGTGTTTTCCTTTCTGCACACACACCCCTATTCGTGTGTGCACATGCGCCTATGTCTTTGTTTTTTCCCATGCATCTGCACCACTTCATACTGCCTGTACCAGGTACTGTGTTGTCTATACTAATTAACATTTTATGTAAAATCAATCTAGTAGAAGGAATGTGAGCTAAAATAACAATATTAATCAAGTCTGACCAACATGCATGATACCTTTTGGATTTGCGCACCTGCTTCCATTTACTGTGGTTTCTGGAAGGCTAATGAGAAAAACTTTTAGGTGTTTGAATGGCGTCTGTTTCCATCTTGAGCCAGCATAGTAAATAAATAGCAAATCAAAGAATAAAAACAATGTAGAAAGGGTTAAAGATTCATCTAGAACCACTAATCGCTGACCCGGGCTTGTTCATGTTTGCATACCGATGCATAGCCTGGTGCCTGGCACAAAACTCTGGTAAAAATGTTTGCCTGGAGAAGGTGTCAGATAACAGACATCAAAGCTGACTTTTTGGATGTTCTTTTCACTCCGTGGCTGTGTAGTCACATGTTCATGGTTTGTCATTGTGTGGAATTTTTGATGCTATATTTGGGCATATATCTATTAAATATGCTTATTGATGAATTGTAATCTGGATGGAATCTTCTAGGATTTATGATTTGAGACTTTGAAGACTAATTCTCTCTTGGAGCTTCATCGTTGCAGTGACAACCTGGGTCTGTCTGGCGCTTCTGAGCATCCGTGCCGTCTGTCCTCTCTCAGGGGCTTTCCTTGTGGGTTGTTGTCTCTGCTCAGATTTCAAAATTTGTAGTAGTTCACAAAAGCATCGTTTTAAGGAAAAAATGAAACACCTGGAAATCACAGAGGCACTTTGGGAAGGGCGATAACACTGTATTTTCCAACTTCTTCTGTTCTATTTTTATTCTTTATATTAGTTTTTTCTCGAGATGGGTGTGAATAGAGCCTGGAGCACACACCACAAAAATGTGTTTGCTCTGTTTTAACTCTTTCAACCTACATTCAGCCAAGGAGGGACTTCTTCAGTTTGAGATTCTCCTTGAGAAAGACGTGGTTGCAGTGCCTGGGATCTGGACCACACAGGAGGTTTGGGGTGTGGGGAGGCTGGCCCCACCTGACTGCTGGCCCGGCACTGGCACGGTCACTCCTGTGTAGCTCTGCTGCCGCCCCTCCCTTCCCCCTGGGCTTGTCTCTACCCTAGAAGTAATGTCAAGCATGAGGCTTCCTCTTCTTGAGGCTTCCCCACAAAGCTCCTAGAAGCAAGTTGGAGGTGTGGGCGGTGAGGGAAGAGCAGACAAGAGGACTCTGTGTCTCTGTTTTGTGCAAAGCATACGCCAAAGGCTTAGATCAAATTAAAGACCCAACAGCGGCCGGAACATCCCTGCTTTCCTTTTGGTCATTTAGTAACACTGAGAAGTGGTGAAGAGCGGTGAAATTGGGATTAAAAACAAAAAACAAAAACAATCTTCCCTTTCTCCTTTACCTTCACTTTTCACGTCTTCCAGCTTTAAGCATCTGCTTCTGGATCAAACCTGCAGCTAAGCTTAGCCTCCCAGGGAACTTTAAGGATATATATTCAGCTCCTGGAGCTTCTAAATGAGGGTAGATTGAATAACTGTTTACTGAGAAGGCACAGTGGGAAGAGCACTGCCTTTCCTGTGGCATCTCATTTTTGCTCACCCTGTCGCATGGGTGACTTCACAGTGGTGGTATTGCTATTCTGCAGCTGATTTAGAGAGATCCAAGCATTTGCCCAAGTTCAGATCAACAAACATGGGTGCCAGGCCTATGATGGGTGCCGGATGGGTTACAGGGAGGAAGGATCCTGTCCTCCAGACACCTGCCTACCTATGGAGAAGGAAGAGAGCCAATATTCCCTTTTCTAGGAAATATAAATTGCTTATTTGAATAAAAAAATCATATGTTTAGCCACATTGCTCACTGATTATCACAGTTGACATAGTAAGTTGAGGTCCAGCTAATTTTCTTTTAAAGTGTGAAATAAATTTAAAGAGACTCACCAGTATGATTTCAAGTACCTTCAGACTTAAATGTGCTGGCCTCATCTTTGCAAATGGAACAAAAATTCAATTCTGAATTTGCCTGCAAGGCTTAGGTGTATCTGACTCCTTTCTTTGTGGTCAGAAGGCTTCCTGGGGTGTGCTGATTTGGATCTACGAAGATTAAATACTTGAGGATTAAATGAGTTCCTGTTTGCAAAGTGCTTAGAACTGTGCTGACATATGCCAAATCGGTAACATCAATGGTTATTTCTGGACTCGTCTTGGGGATCATGGTCCTTGAAGGCAAGGACTTTGTCTTTTAGCCTTCCTTGGTCCTGGCACAGGCTGGATATTCGTTGTTCAAATACTGTGAGCTCAATGAATTGTGTTGAGGTGACAGAGGAAGGAGACAGGGCACCACATCTCACCAGGAAGTCCATGGAAATGAGTGGTCCAGTCCAGGAATTTCCCGAGAAATTCTGTGAGACAGTCCAGAGCAGAGAGAACCAAGTTGTGAATGCTGCTGTGGCCGTGACCCATGGGTCCACTGGGTTCTGCCTAACCACCTACATTGGCCGCTGCTGCTATTGATTTGTCTCTCCATCACAGTAGAGAGGGGTAGAAAATGGTGCTACTCCAGTTAAGGTCACAGATAGGTGTCTGTTTCCACACTGTTCCCAGTGTGTGCCGAGATAAATTGGGAATAAGCATTTAGAAACTACGATTGCAGGCCAGGCATGGTGGCTCACGCCTGTGATCCCAGCACTTTGGGAGGCCGAGGTGGGCGGATCATGAAGTCAGGAGTTTGAGACCAGCCTCATCAACATGGTGAAACCCGGTCTCTACCAAAGCTACAAAAATTAGCCAGGCGTGGTGGCATGCGCCTGTAATCCCAGCTACTCAGGAGGCTGAGACAGGAGAATCGCTTGAACCAGGGAGGCAGAGGTTGCAGTGAGCTGAGATCGCAACACTGCACTGTAGCCTGGGTGACAGAGTGAGACTCCGTCTCAAAAAAGGAAAGAAAAAAAAAAAAAAGAAACTCCGATTGCATTCAACACTGCCTTGGCAGCATGATCCGTGGGCTCCCCTCATTAACTAGGTACAGACCAGTTTGCATGGTCTTGGACTCTCATGGTGAGTTACCAGGAGAGCCGCCTATGGTGTGAGTGTGAGCTAATCATGCAAGGTAGGACCACATTTTCGTTCCTGACAGATTGGTGATGTAAACAAAAACCCAAAACCTGATTCTTCACCGCAGGTAGGCGTAGAGAACTGCCTGGAAGAAACCTAGCTGCAGTTGTCTTGCCAAAGCAAGACATGTCCCGTGATTTTATAACAATTGGGTCTAGAATCCCTCATCAGTGAGACCAATATTGCCACCTTTAGGTTAACAAGTGGGCTGAATTCTGTCCAACCCAGTGGTGCTCATATTAGCAGGGGCAGCAGCCTGGTCTGTCCTGCCTGGAACTCAACTGCCATTGTTGGTGGCCATAAGGAGGGCTGCATCCCCTGCGTTTAGGTGCCTCCCCAGTCGGTCTCCCTGATGCTGAGTGAGAGCCTCAGGATCTTGGCTTGGGACCCTCGTAGCCACCCACATACATCCTGAGGCCAATTTGTTGCAATGCTGCCCTGTTTTGACCTCTTGAGATTTGGGTAGCCTATTTTGCCATTGAATTAGCTTATTTGTTTTGGGTAAGTTATTTTGCCATTGACTTAGCTTATTTAGCCAATGGGAAGACATATAAGATGACCTAGCCCTGGCTTTTCAAACCAAAATTAAGGGCCGTGGAGTTTGGGAAAGGTGCATACCTCATTTGGAAGCTGGGCTGGTTGGACCAGGAGGCTGCGTGCAGTGCGCTTGTCAGGCCGATCCTTCTAGAGGAGAGCCTGCTGTAATCTCTTCGGTTCATGCTGTTCCAACCAGCTTTAATCATCAAAACCAGTGCTAATCATCAAAACTTGAATAATATACAGACTGCGAAAGGAACATATTTCTTGCCGAAGCCTCGATTTGCCAAAGGGAAGCACCTAAGCTTCCCCATCTACCCATCTATGGCAACATGTTGTAAAAATAAGAAGCACCTGGATGGCTTCATATGATGTGGGGAAACTGCCTTTTTCTACGATGATTCTCAGTTTTAAAATTTCCTCTCTTTCCCCCAAGAGGAGAAAAATGATTTTCATGGAAAGCGTGTTTCAGGGAAGTCGCTTTTTTTTCTCTGTATAAGGTCACCACCTCACTTGTGACCTTGAGGGAGGCTTCCTCCCTGGCCCCAGGTGTCTGACAAGGTCTGCTCTAGTGGCCCCTGGGTAGAGGTCTGGCAGTGCGGGGGAAGGTAGGGGAGGATTTGTGCTCTGAGACCTGGAAGGTACCTGTGACTGGGACAGAGGGAAGGTCGCAGGCAGCCGTGGAGAACCTCGTCAGGAGAGCAGCTCCTGCTGCTGCCTTGATGGGATAAAGGCACACAAACGGCCCTCCTGTGGCAGGGGCTCCAGCCCCAGTTCTAGATGAGGGCTGTAGTGATGGCCCCTGGCCCTTGCCCCTCCCCACAGGCTCTCCCTCACATCACTGAGTGAGCAGGGCTTTTCAGAGCTACGGCCCTGCTCAGGTTTTAAAATTTAAAGCTTGATTCTGCAGATACCACAATAATGCGTTTTTGTTAAGGAGGACCTCTGGGGGAGGCAGCAGGGGTGGGGTGGTCACTCACTGACTGTGAAGTCACAATTTGACAGCTGTAACTGTCTGCTGTTTTTATTCCTGGTATACCTTCCCGAATGCCTGGTCTCCGGAAACATTTTTTGATAGCTCAAATAGACACCTGGGCCAAGTATAGTCTCCTTGGTCCCAGGAAAATGGGAGGCAGTTGCCCATCAGGCCCTTATTCCTGTGCTGGGTGTGACCAGTGCTGAGATGGGGTTGGGTGGAGGATGTGAGACACTGCTGCCTGGGAACTGAGCATGCGGCAGTGAGGAGGGTGGGGCTTGGCTGTCAGGCCAGCACAGTGGCAATTAAAACGTGCTTTCAACTCAACAAACAAACACCTCCATTAAAAAATGGGCAAAGGACTTGAATAGACACCTCTCCAGAGAAGGTATACCAATGGCCAATAAGGACACAAAAAGATGCTCCACATCACTAATCATTGGGGAAATGGAAGTCAAAACCACAATAAGATACCACTTCACGTCCATTAACGTGACTATAAACAACAACAGAAAATAACAAGTGTTGGTGAGGATGTGGAGAAACTGCAACCCTTATGCACTGCTCATGAAAATGCAAATTGTGCAACCGCTATGGAAAACATTATGGCCATTCTTCAAAAAATTAAACATAGAATTATCATCTGATCCAGCAATTCTGCTTCTGAGCCTATACCCAAAAAAAGTGAAAGCTGGGACCCAAACAGATGTTCATACACTAGTGTTGCTCATAGCAACCACATTCACAATAGCCAAAAGGTAGAAGCAACCCAAGTGTCCGTCAGTGATGAATGAATAAACAAAATACACTAGATACATACAATGGAAGATGATTCAGCCTTAAAAAGGAAGGAACTTTTGACACACGCTATAGCGTGGATGAACCTTGAAGACGTTATACTAAGTGAAATAAGCCAGTCACGAAAGGACCATTACTGGAGGATTCCACTTATATGAGGTACCTAGAGTAGTATGGATTGGATTCACAGACAGAGGTAGAATGGTAGTTGCCAGGGGATGTGGGGAGAGAGTTATCGTTTAATGCGCAAAGAGTTTCAGTTTAAGAAAATGAAATGCTCTGGAGATAGATGGTGGAGAAGGTTGCAAAACAATATGCATGTAGGTTTTGCAGATGCTGCTGCCGCTGCTGGGATCCCCATACTGTCAGCCGTGGTCAACCCTGCCGTGTTCTTCGACATCGCTGTCGATAGTGAGCCCTTGGGCCATGTCTCTTTCTAGCTGTTTTCAGAGAAGGTTCCAAAGACAGCAGAAAACTTTCATGCTCTGAACTTTCATGCTTTCATGGAGAGAACGGATTTGGTTATAAGGGTTCCTGCTTTCACAGAAATATTCCAGGGTTTTATGTGTCAGGGTGGTGACTTCACATACCATAATGACACTGGTGGCAAGTCCATCTACAGGGAGAAATTTGATGATGAGAACTTCATCCTAAAGCATACAGGCCCTGGCATCTTGTCTATGGCAAATGCTGGACCCAACATGAATGGCTCCCAGTTTTTCATCTGCACTGCCAAGACTGAGTGGTTGGATGGCAAGCATGTAGTATTTGGCAAGGTGAAAGAAGGCATGAAGATTATGGAGGCCATGGAGCGCTTTGGGTCCAGGAGTGGCAAGACTAGCAAGAAGATCACCATTGCTGACTGTGGACAACTCCAATAAATTAGACTTGTGTTTTATCTTCACCACTCAGCCATTCCTTTATAGTTCAGGAGAGCATGCCTGCTCCCCATTTGCTCACAGTATCCTAGAATCTTTGTGCTGTCACTGCATTTCCCTTTGGGTTCCATGTTTTCCTTGTTCCCTTCCATGCCTAGCTGGATTGCAGAGTTAAATTTATGATTATGAAATAAAAACTAAATAGCAAAATAGTGTGCATGCACTTAATGCCACTGAACTGTACATTTAAAAATGATTAAAATGGTAAATGTTATGGCATGTATGTTTCATCACAATAAAAAAATAGATTTCCAAACATATTCCAAAGTGATTCTCCTAGTAAATTCTTTTTAAAATTCACCTAGGAAAAAAATGTGTTTTACAATTTAGCAACTCTTCTAGGGCACTTGCCGTGTTACCCGCTCTGTGCTGAGCATTGCATTGCGTTTATTTATTATTATTTTATTTGAGGTGTGATCGTTGAGAAGCAATACAATGAAATCTACAGCCTCAAGTGTTCAGTTCACTGAGTTTCAATAATTGTGAACCTGTGTAACTGCATGATGAACCTGTGTAACTTTCATCACCCCAGAAAGTTCCCTCCTGCCCTCTTCTGGTCAACCCCCATCTTCTTTCCAACCACTTTCTGATGTCAGTCATCATGGGTTTATGCCTGTTCTCGATGTTCTTGTAGACAGAAACTCACAGTGTGCACTCTTGTGTGCCCTGCTGGTCTTGCTCAGCCTGCCGTCTGCTGTTGACCTGTGCTGATGCGTGTCCCTGGAGTTAACTCTACTGCTAACTAGTACTCCATCCCATACAGTTTGTGCATCCATTCTCCTGTGGGTGGACATTGAGATGGCACTGTGGTTTGGAGACCGCTGACAGTGAGTGAAGATGTCAGCTGACCACTGGGGAGTGTCCCGGCAGAGTGAGCTTGCCACACTTCAAGTTTTCGGTGCTGGGGGTTTTGCTTTTTTGGTGACTCAGCACTAGGGACAGGAAGTGGACAGATGGCCTTAACAGGTTGACGTCCCTGAGCTGTGATAGCTGCCACACCCTTCCCCAGCTCCGACGGCCACCTGCAGATGTGATCAGATACCCAAGGGGGCTAGGGTGGAGGTGGAGGAGTAGAGCGGCCCCTGCCCCAGGCAGGGTTTGGGTGGCCTGTCCCCAGCTTGGCCTCTTCCTTTCTGGATTGAAGCCTTGAGGCTGGTTGAGATGCTCTTTAGCCACATTAAAGCCATTAGTCTGGGACTGAAGCACCACAGCTTTTCCATCTTTCCAGTGACTTGGCTCTCTCTGCTGTGACCCATTCTTGGGTGAGTTTGTAGCCTCTGAGTCCAACACTGAGGTCAGTGTCTCCTCATTTCCCCAATGCTGGGCAGTATCTTATCTCATGACATGGTGAGGCCTAATGCAGAGCCATGCAGCTGGGCACCGTGGCTCACACCTGTAATCCTAGCACTTTGGGAGGCCAAGGTGGGAGCGTTGCTTGAAACCAGGAGTTAATAAAGGTCAACTTGGGAAATATAATAGTGAGACCCCATCTCTACAAAAAAAAAAAATGTTAAATTAGCCAGATGTAGTGGTACACGCCTATAGTCCCAGCTACTTGGGAGGCAGGGGCAGAAGGATTAACCTCCTGGTTAAGGGTGCAATGAGCCAAGATTGCACCACTGCGCTCCAGCCTGAGTGCTATAGCAAGATCTTGTCTCTAAGTGGTATGGGAGGGGGAAAGCTACACCTTTGTTGCAAATAGATCTGGGCTCAAACACTAGCTGGCTACCTGGACATGATGCAATCATAGGCAAGTTAATCTCTTGGAGCGTAGCTACCTCATATGATAGCATCAAGAATACCTTTGTTGTCCCATGTCTGCCTTCATAGGCCTGTTGGAGGTGGGAGGGTAATTCCTGCCTTCCAGTAACATGGACAAATTTATCCGTGTGAAAGCCAGTTTCACCTGAGGTCAGTTTCCTCTGCTGCCCCGTTTCTGGGCAGTACCTCATGTCATGACATAGATAATGCAAGTTGAGAGTGTGTGGGTGACAACTTCAACTGTTGCTCTACAGTAGAGACCTGTGGAGACAGGACAGACTGATCAGGGTGGGCTGTGGTCACTGGGGAACCTCATGAAGCAGACAGAATTTGGGGGCCCTCCAAGAGAAAAAGTATTTATGCCGGTTTCCCTCTCTCCATTCAGAAACCGTACTCTATACACCCCCGGTCCCCACCCTAAGTCCACCAGGTCACTGACAGCTAACAATTGACCTTCACCTGGGAGAGGTAAGCTTGCAAGGCCCAGCTTGGACATGCACCTGTGATTTCTAAAGGACTTCTTCTGAATTCATCTCTGAATGAGGTTGGCGGCACTGCTATGGTGTCTGAGCCTATACAGGAGCCGAGGGCTATGTAGTCATCAGAGCCTCAGTTTAGAGGCTCACATGACAGAGACATGGAGTGTGGAGCCCATCTCAGCAAGTCAGGGCCTGACGCGTTATGCCCGCTCACATGTAGGCACAGGAGACCTGGGACAGAGGAAGCGATCTGCTCCTGCCTGAAGTAGTGGGAGGGGCAGGAAGGTGCATTGCTGAGCAGAGGGACTATCTGCTGGTCCAAGGAGCCTCTGTCCGGCTGGACTGAGGCTACCCTCAGCTTCCATCTCTCCTCTTCATTCTCTAGAAGGCTCTGCCAGGTTCAGATCCTGCCTGTCCTTTGCAGCTTTGTAGGGAGCAGTCCCCACATCTCTGAGGATTGCCTGATGCAAGTTCTCGAGGTAACTGCTTCAGGGCTGCGTGGGAGTCCCCAGCTGACTTGACCATGTGCTCCTGTGGAAAATGATCACCTCACCTTTTATTTATATTCTGTTGTTGATTTTCCTCTAAGGATCTAGGCCAGTGCTGGGCACATTTTGCACTTTCAACAGTCGAGGGGCAGAAAAAGAGAATTACCATACCTGAGGCTTGCCAGTCAGGGGCAGAGCCAGAACTGGAATCCCAGCAGCCCAGACGTGGGAAGAGCATCGAGGACCGGCAGGAGGAGGGGATGGGAGGGCCGTCTGGGTGAGGGGTCATCTAAGAGCCCAGTGCTGTTTCACACTGTCCCGGGTGGAAAATGCAAACCCTGTGGATTTTCACCCTCTCAGTGTTGACTATTGTCCTATGGAAATAAGGGTGATTTCCTAAAATGTGTGGCTCAATAAAGGATTCCTTCACCGGGGTGTGAAATGACTGTGCATCTGAATCTGAGCCAGAAAAGATAAACTTTGCTCCATTTTCCCACACACCGGATTAGAATCTTTCCAGGACACTAACCTAGTGTGTGCTTATCTAGGTCCTTGGGCCTAGGGGCCCCTGGTGAAAGCCCAGGCCATGCAATCCGAGTCCCAGCGCCCCCATCCTTCCCCCTCTCTCCCGTGGGTTTGTATCTCCCTGGCATCCCCCAGCAGACTGCTCTGCCCAGCTGTGAACTGAACAGCCTGGCTTGTCTTGGGGCAGAACCTGTCCTCACAGGTGTGTTTGGGCACTGCAGGAGGGTTGGGGAAAAGTGGTGTAAATAACCCTCCTTGCCTTTCTGCTGATGAGAAAACCATGGGAAAAATATAAAACATTTCTATGGATATTGAGAACAAAGTTTCTTCAGTGATTTCACTGTAAGTTTGGTTATTTGAGAGAATAGTTTTTAATTAATAAGGAAACTTAATTAATACATGTGTGTCCCTGATTTCTTATATATGTGTGTGTATATATATGTACATATACATATGTATCCCTGATTTCTTTAAATCTATGTATGTGTATATATCTTATATATCATATATAATCTTATATGTGTATGTATATATATCTTATATGTATATATACATATAGTTTTCACTGTAGACGTACTATACTATATATATAGTGTACACTATAATGTCAAGTATATGAAAACAAAGAACATAGATAAAAAGGCTGAAAATGTGCCATAATATTAACAGTGGTCATCTTTCTACCATAACATTTTCTGGTTTTTAAAATAATAAGCGTATTTTTCATATTGGGAAAGATAAAAATTTACCTAACAAGGCAAAAGAATTAACTATCATAGGAAAGTTAATTTTGCCATGCCCGTCCCCATCCCATAGTGAGCAGTATGTGTTTACGTCCATGCTGACATTAAGACTGATGAAAACAGAAAAAGGACAGGCCGCCATGTAGAAGAAATTTTTAAACTACCAGTTTTTAAAATGGGAAAGGAACCAAATGGTTTTGTATAATCCCATATAAAAATGTCCCTCATAATGAATCTCAGACTCACCTTAAAGGAATAATTCTCAGGATTCTCTTCCATGCTGGGGCTCCAGTAAGAGTCAAGATTTGGGGCTTTCTTAAAGCAGGCTTCAAACCTTAAAAGCATACCTTATTGAATGCCAGTGCCAGCATTCTCAAATAACTGTGCCCCCAAGTGGTCACATGTACCTGTAAATTACATGCAGCAAAAAGGTGCAATTAACCAGGTCCTGGACTGCAGAGTTTGCAATTTATTAATAATAATGATGATGAAAACAATAATACATCCAAAAGAGAAAAGAAAGGGGAAGATGAAACCCAAAGAGAGAGAGAGAGAGTGTGTGTGTGTGTGTGTGTGTGTGTGTGTGTGTGTGTGCAGGCGCAAAAGACAGGGAAGAATTTTCTCAGTGTTTATTTTTGCCATGCCTCTCCCAGAAAAAGAGCGTGTGTGCGTGTGTGTGCATATGTGTTTGCATTTGAGGAGGGAGGCCTGGCCAGAAGAGGTGGGGGGTAGCTGTGGGCAGAGCCCTCCCAAGAATTCTGGAGACTTTGCATCCTTTCTCAGGAGCAATCCTCGATGCCTTTGACTGCCTACTTCTCTGCAGCGGTGGTTCCATGATAGTCTCCTTGGCAGCCTGCCAGAGGCTGTAAGTGTACAGAGAATTGTGTTTTAATAGAAGGCTTTACCTCTGATACAGATTTAAAATGAGGAAGAAACTTTCTGTTCCTCAGCCAGAACGAAATGCGTTTTGCTTCCTGTGAAATGCTGGTGATTACAAGCTCATCTTACATAATTTTATTATTTTCAATTGCTGCCCGTCAATCTCAGGTGATGGTTCCCTGGGAGCAGAAAAAGAGGCAGATTCTGGGCGATGACTATTAAAAAAAAAATCACTCAGTCATTAGCAAATCGTACAAAAATTTAGAAAGGAGAATAATTATCTTTGTGATGATGCTGTTTAAGATAATCAGAACTTGCATTGCTAAGTTAGACACGCCGAAGTGAATTGAGGACTGTTTAATGGCCTCTTAGAAAATGTATTTTTGCTTTAACAAAGCATTGATGTTTGAGATTTAAAAAAAAGAAATCCTTTAAATCTCGTGAAGGAATTCTCTGGAATAACCACATTTTCAGAAATCCGTGACATGATCGAGGTGGTCCACTGTCACGCCCACAAGAGGGCATTTTCTCATCAACTACTGTAAAAACGATTTGTTTTCTAAAGGGAAGCTGAGAGGCCTGGGGGAAGGAGAGTGTTCTGCAGAGCAGGAAGTGGAGAGCTGCTTGCAATTGAGTTGTATGTATGCTTCCACTTAATACGTCCTGCCGAGCCTGTAAGCCAACACTTCCGGCCAGGAATCTGCCCTCTGTGTTTACCTACTCTCTTTTTATGTCTTATTCCCAGAATGACTGGGGACCAAAGGAATCCTTTGCAGGAGTTTTCTCCAGACAGACAGTTCCACATGCTAGTATATTGTCGACCCCATCCATAACTTCCATGAAACTTGAATCTCATATTTTAAGACACCTTCTCTAGGTCCAAGTTCTTTCCTTTATGTATGTTACACATATTTGTTGAGTACCTACTGTGTGTCAGCTTGAGCCAGACTCAGATCCTGTCCTCGTGGAACACACATCCTCCACAGGAAGACTTGGCATAAAAAAGGAGAACAAATACTGGAGTATGATTTAGATAATTATAAATGTTATAAGGAAAAATAACTGGGATAAGGAAAGGTAGCTATTTTAATTGGATAATTAGGCATACTTCTCTCATGCATAACAAATATTCTAATTTTGTTCAATCCATACCAATATTGTTTGGATTATAAAGGTAATACCTTTTTTTCAACTCCATTTTTTCTAAAAAAGTTAGTTATATTGTTTATTATTTTACGGACCATGAAACATGATGGAAACCGGGGAATTGAGATGTGGCCAGTTGTTAGTTTGTAAAATGACATTTAAAAATTACCATCTACTCATCACCTCATCATTTGACAAAACAATGCATGTTTTAACACCAAAAAGTAGGAAAGATGTAATCCCTGAATAGAGGGCAGTTGAATACGTTTAGTGTTTTGGAAAATTTGCTGCATTATCTGAGGTTTTCTCCTTTTCCATGGCCTATGAGAACTTCATCAGGGACTGGTTCTGGTCAGGGGCTGGCATCCAGTTCCACAGATCCTGCTGATGACATTGTCCATGCCTTCCCCAACCATGAGGACCAACAATGTTGGCACCAGTTCTGCAAGCTCAGCTCCCAACCACAACACACAAGACTCGAGCAGGAGATGGTTTGCTCCCCATCCTAGGGGTTCTAGGATACTTGGTAAGGAGCTCAGCCCAAGAGCTACAATGCCGTTGTGAGAGTTTCTGAAGCCAGGAGTCAAGGCTTTACTTTGAGCACATGGTTTTGGAGGTCAAGCAGAATGGGCTGGGCAAATCCAGGAAGGCTTCATGGGGGAAATGAATTTTGAACTTGGCCTTAAAGGATGGGTAGGTGTAAGGAAGAGGGTTGTAGGATTATAGTGGGTGATATACACATTTTTGAAAGTTAATGTGGAACAGGTTTTGGTAGTAAAAGGCAACATCCATTGTGTAAAATGTTCAGGTATAACAACAAAGTAATAATCTCTAATAAATATATTGTCTAGGCTGAGCGTGGTGGCTCACGCCTGTACTCCTACCACTTTGGGAGGCCAAGGCAGGCGGATCATTTGAGGTCAGAAGTTCGATACCAGCCTGACCAACATGATGAAACCCCGTCTCTACTAAAATACAAAAATTAATCGGGCATGGTGGCGGGCACCTGTGATCTCAGCTACTCGGGAGGCTGAGGCAGGAGAATCACTTGAACCCAGGAGGCAGAGGTTGCAGTGAGCCAAGATCACACCACTGCACTCCAGCCTGGGCGACAAAGCAAGACTCCATCTCAAAAAAAAAAAAAAAAGAAAAGAAAACACACATATTATCTAGAGATGATTGTTAATATTTTATCATATTGTCCTCCAGTCTTTTGCTTTGCATTTTCACATTAGTTGGGACCATGTTGCACATGAAATTTTGCATCTTGCTTTTTTACTTTAGTATACAACACACATTGCCTCATGTAATTGAAAATTACTCTTAAACATCACTTCCGGATGGCTTCATTTATCCCATCCTGCCTGCATGCCATTCCCATCAGATGTATTTTTTTTCCTACTGTAACTCTCTGGTGGATAGTTCTTTTTATATCATTTTGGTTCACAATTTCGGTATCACACACATCTGCCAAGGTCCAGCTCTGAGGGTAATATTGAGCCTGTCACAATATCCACCCTGGTCTCTATCTGTGCATGTCAAGTGAAGATAATATACCAACCTCATGGGGTAGATATGAGACTTATGTGAGATCATGTTTGCATAGAGTTCTAGAAATAGAATTACCAAGGTTTGATCTCTTTAAAATTATGTAACTTTTCAATTATAAAAGTAATGTTCTTTATGGAAAATTTTAACAAAAGAAAAACCATGCAAATTTCATCACCCAGAGATAAAAAAACAATTAACATTTTAGAATCTATTATTTGTCACTTTGTAGCAGAATTGGGATCGTACTATATATATCATTTTCTTTCCTGCTTTTTTTCCTCTTAACCTTGCATTGCTTCTCCCTTGTCATTATTCATTTGGAAACAATCTTAAAAGACCATGTTTCATTATATTCTGTTATATTAATGTGTCTTATTTAACTGTTTCCTTTTTGCCATTTAGATAATTCAGTAATTTGCTACTATAAATAACGTTGCAATGAAATACTGATGAACAAATCTGTGGACATTTTGGGTTACTTCTTTAGGATTAATTCCTGGAACTGTATTTACCAAGTCAGAGGTGGAGCAGCATGTGAATACTCACTTTACCCTATTCTATCCTATTATAATTTTTTTTTAATCTTAGTCTGTTAGGTAGGTGAGTAATGGTATCTCGTGGTCTCGGTTGCGTTTCCTTGATTACCAGTGGGTTGGAGCATTTGTTTCTGTGTATTGACGTACCTGTCCTCTGTTTGTCCTTCTATTTATATTCATCTTTTTTCTTATTGATTTTTAAGAGCTCTTTATGCATAAGAGGATATTAACCTTTTGGTATAATGTTGGAAATATTTTTTCAGTTTGTCATTTGAATTCTAAATTCATTTATGGTTTCTCGGTTGTATAGATGCCTTTACTTTGCTTATACGAATCATCAACGTTTTTGTTGTTCAGTGTTTCCTCTTGTTTTTAGGCTTAGAAAGCCCTTCCCCATCCTGGCTTTGGATATCTGCGCAGTTGCATTTTCTTCTAATTGTTTTGCAATTCATTTTGCAAATTCAACTTTTTATCAGGTTTTCTCATTTTGCTATAAAATATGATCGGAATTTAACTTTTTCTTAATAGTCATTTAATTCTTCCATTTGCGTTTAGTGAATGATCTTTCTGTCCTCCCTGATTTGAAATGCTACCTCTCATACATTAAATTCTTTGTTGGGTTTTTTGTTGTTGTTGTTGTTGTTGTTTTGAGACGGAGTTTCTTGTCATCCAGGCTGGAGTGCATTGGTGCGATCTTGACTCACTGCAACTCCACCTCCCGGTTCAAGTGATTCTCCTGCCTCGGCCTCCTGATAACATTAAATTCTTGTATAGACTAGAGGGTGTTTCCAGGCTGTTTATTCTGTTTCATTCAAACTTAGTTCTATACCACACTGTTTCAAATGCTGAAGTTTTCATTTTGTGTTTTAAAATCTGGTAGTACAAATCATCTTCATTATTATTATTTCCCAAAATATTTTTGGCTACTATGTCTGACATATCTTGTATAGCCCAGAGGAAATTTAGAAGCATTTCACGCTAAAAAAAAAAAAAAAAAAAAAAAAAAAAAAAAAAAAAATTGAGTTTTTTTTTTACATGATAGCCATATGAATTCGATGAGATCCGTAAATTGATTTATAAAGAATTGACATTTGGACTACATTATTGAGTCTTCTCATTCAGGAATGTGCTATTCCATTTACTCTTGCTCTCTCTGTGTTTATTTGAGTTTACTTCCATATCTCTCTGTAAACATTTGTGGCTTTCTTCATGTGAGCTCTGTGCTGCTCTTAGAAACTTCATTCCTATATGTTACATATACATAGAGTGAGATCGTTCTGTCCCAACATATTTGCTAATGAGTTATTACTGGCAAATAAAAAAGCTGTTAATGTTTGTACATTGATTTTGTATCTTGCTGGGTTACTGAACTTTCTGATGGATGGAACTCTTTTTAAGGCCTTCAAACATGTTGAATATTGTACTAA
The DNA here is from genome assembly GCF_000001405.40 of Homo sapiens. Taxonomy (NCBI): domain Eukaryota; kingdom Metazoa; phylum Chordata; class Mammalia; order Primates; family Hominidae; genus Homo; species Homo sapiens. Next base: position 23,408,711 of record NC_000002.12, read on the forward strand.
AAGATTGTCTGTATACCCAGGGATGTCTGGGAGAGCTTGTATTATCATTTTTAAGAAGCTTTTCTAATTTGAAGGAAAACGGCCTCTCGTTGTGTCTTCACATTGAAGTTTCTTTGTGACTCTAATCCCGAGTCCTGGTAGCATCATGTATTTGGGGCATACGGTGTTCGTGTGCAATAATCCCTCCTTGTAGGCCTCCCCTGAAGCAACAGACAACCATGACAGCTCTGATGAGCACCTTTCAGATAGGAGTTTGGGGTTCACAGCTCTGCCTTGTTGGGGGGTGTGTGAGGGGCTAATCATAAAGAATAATTTGGGAGCTAGTTCTGGACACACGTTCCCAGACTGATTGGGTAGAGCCTGTTGTTGTTGAGCTTGGGTTTAAATTCATTCACAGCCAGACAAACGTGAGTATGAAGAACCAGTCAGACATCACTTTCCCCATTGGTGATCCCTGAAGGACTTTCCATTCGCAGCACAAAGATAACCCCTTGAAGAGAGCAAAGAAGAAGAGAAAGGCTGACCAGAAATATGACCGTAATATCTAGGCACTTCACTCTCCGCAGCTGTACTGAGCTCACATTATATTGTCATCTTCTCCAGATTAAGGCCTTCTATCAGTTATGGGAAAGGCAAGGATTTCTCCTACCCTGATTCTTCCTAGCATATGGCTGGAGGTGGGGGCGGAATCTCCCCACATCCCCACACAGACGGCTTGTGAATGTTCTGATGGTGTGCGTTTCCTCCGTTGGACGAACAACTCATCTTTTACTCTTTGCTTTTTATGCCAGTTTGGGAAGGTTGTTTTTCTCCCACTTGAAAATCTTCCTCGGAAGGAATATGTTGCCATCAGCAATTCCTCTGTGTTGTAACTATCTCCTATGAAGCCAGACTGTAAGGCAGTGCGTCTTCCCTCAATAGAACCCAAGCCCATTCTTCATGGTTCAGCAAATCTCTGAGTGCCTTCTGCGTGCCAGGCACTGTGCTTGGTGTTGGAACTCGACAGGGAGCAAAACCATGCCTGGTTCTTTCCCTCAAGGAGTTTACAGTCTAGTGGGGGAGACAGATGTTTATCAGATAGTGCAAAAGGCAATAAACACTATGAAGGAAGATGGTCAGTGCCATTACAGGGAGCTCCGCCTCTTCTTGGATTCAGGGAGTAGGGGGAACTGATCTGAGATTTAAAGAAATGATAAGCTTAGCATTTAAAGGGAGGGTGAGCTGGGGAAGGAGCAGGGATGATGCATTCCAGGCAGAGGAGATACATGTGCAGGAGAGAGTATGGTGCCTTCAAGGAGATGCGAAAAGGTCAGAGAAACTGGCATTAAGAAACCAGAGGGGAGCATGGCACAGGCGGAGAGTGGAGAATTAGGAGGGAGAGGCCATGCAGGGTTTGTCTAGCCGCATAAGTATGCTGTGTCTTTATTGCAAGAGCACTGACTGGCTGACTGTTTTTAAGCAAGGGAATGGCATTCTGCAAAGACAGCCCTGGCTACCATGTGGTAAGCCACTGTGAAACACTAAGGAAGAAGAAATGGGGTACAGTTAGGAGAGGACTGCGGGAGTCCAGGAGAGAGTTGAGGGGATGGTGCATGTGGAGACAGGTAAATGGGCAGGCTGGGGTGGGGGGTTCGAGGGTGGGAAGTAAAGGAGAGGGATGTCTCAAGGTGACCCCTAGATTACTGGATGGATGTGGTGCTGTGCTGGGCACTGGGAACAGTGGAAGGGGTCAGGTATATTGGAGAAAACTGAGCTTTGTTTAGGACTGGGTGTGAGGACTCCTGAGGCATGGCAGTGGTGGCAGATAGGCAGTTATGTGTGTGGGTCTGGCTTTCACTCACAGGAGACATCAGGGCCAGAGACAGAAATTTCGAGGAATCATCCACATAAGATTCTGAGAGAAGAATCTTAGTAGTAAGGGTCAAGCTGTTGGTCCGCAGTCCTCTTCAGACCTCTTGCTGCTGCTGCTGCTTGTGACGACACTCTGACTTCCAAAGACAGTACTTCCCAGGTGTGGAGGAGGGCATTGCATTTCCTGTGTATCCTCCACCATGTGCTGGCTGAGTCAAGAATGGAGGTAATAAAAGAGACGTAAACACGGGAAACCACACGTCTAAAGCGTCCCATCTGTAAACTCTTGCTTACTCTCCAGACTCACAGGCCCCATCCTTCAGAGTGAGTCTCTTGAGTACAGAGATGGAACTTGGAAGTCTCTCCTGCTCCCTCCCTCCTCTGACCAGAGCCTTCCCTTCCTCCCCCAGCCCCTCATTTCTGAACAATGAGCCTTCAAATACCTTGCCCCTTAAATTACGTGCTTAAATTTAAGATCATTTATCTAATTATTCATGTAATAAATGTTTATTAAGCACCTGCTCTGTGCCAGGCACAGTGGCATGGATAAAGATGGTGGAGGCACAAGATGGGGTTATAATGTCGATATGACAAATGTTGAAATATAGGGATGTCCAAATCTCCTGTGAGGCCAGGTGAGGGAGGGGCAGTTCAAGGGAGTGAGAGAAGGCCTAGGGATTTGTGACATGTAGCAAAGGTTGAGGACAGGGTAGTGAGAACATTTGGGGCAGAATAAACAGATGTGTCAGAGGAAGTGTTGTGGGAATGTGAAGTAGTTCCCATGCCTGGAGTATATTGGGTATGTATGTTGCAAAAATTGTGTGTGTGTGTGTGTGTGTGTGTGTGTGTGTGTGTGTGTGTGTGGTCAAGGTAGGATGGAAGGGCGAGGTAATGGGTCATGGGGGTAGAGAGAGGGAGATGGGTTATGACCTCTAAGCTGCCAAGGTAGGTAACATCCAAATAAGGCAGGACCTCGAGAAGAGAGTTGTGAGGTCGGCCAGATTTCCTTCTGTTGTGTGTGTGCCGCAAGAGTTTTCTCAGCCTCATCCATTCCCGCTGTCGGGAGATGAGACAAAAATATCCTTATTCTTCTTGCATTGGGAAATGCAAGCTTGCACTGGAATCTTAACAGGTACTGCTGGTTCTGCCTTCTCCACTTCCCAGATGTGGGCATGGCAGCTCCCAGCATCAGTAGCATTGAAAGATTGGTTCTGAGGGTCTCCTCGGGCTCTTTTGGCAGAGTGGAGATAAGTTTCTAATCTGAGTCACTTAGGGTTCTTTGCATGGGCCCAGTCTAATAACTAAAAGCTCTCTGGAGGAGCCAGAATTTTCGTCATGGATGTTTTCTGACTCATGTTGTCATTGGAATGACTTTTAGTTCCTTTGGGCATGTCTGACTTCTACGCTTCTTAGGAAATGTAGCAAAGGTTGAGAAAAGGGTGGTGAGAGCATTTGGGGCAGAAGAAACAGATGTGTCAGAGGAAGTGTTGTGGGAATGTGAGGTGGTTTCCATGCTTGGAGTATGTCGGGTATGTATGTTGCAAAAATGTGTGTGCGTGAAGGGGGGGGGGGGGCGGTGCGGTAGAGGTAGGATGGAAGGGCCATCTCTGACCTGAGACCACTGGGCTGGACAGTTCCAGGGTTGGGGTGCTGTGGGCTTGTCGAGTGGCCAGATCACGCCTAATATCTGCTCAGGGTGTGTCAATGGTTGAGGAATTTCAGAGAACTAATACAAACAAGTTCATGCCATTGCTCTGAATTCAGGCCCCAGCAGTGTTTATGATTGCTTGACCAAGCCCTCACCAGCTCTTTCTGGAATACTCAGTCCAGTGAGAAGTGGGCACTGGGGGACAGAGAAGGAAGAGGAGAGAATCATGAGCCATGCTGGATATGCAGGTGGGCTGCAGGGCTCAAACTTGAACCAGTGCATCTAAATGGGCCAATGGTGCCTTGTGGACTGAATGTTCTCCAAGGCTTAGGAGGGGTGGGAGGACCCCAGGACCACTACCTTGAGGGAAGGAGAGAGCCTGGGACCGCTGGAGCTGGGGACAGAGCTGTGAGAACCAGAGGGAGTGGAGATTACTGTGGACAAGAAGCATCTTGGAAGGTCTTTCAAGCACCTGGGCCTGGACAAAAAAGTTCCACAGGGGTCAAAGGCAACACTGCGGAAATCCTCTGACAGACTGGGTGTAGCTGGCCAGGGTGGTCCACGGGATGCTATGAGGACCACTTGTCTCCTCCGCAAGAAGCTCGCAAAATGGGAAATGGCAGGTGTCGGCCTTGGAGGGAGATGGCTGGTTCAGCAGCGCAGGCATCCTTCTCCCTCTGCTTCTGTTTGACTGCTTCCAAGTCACCTTTCATGTTGTAAACCACTGCTTGTCACTTTGCCAAATTCCTATGCTCTTACTTAAGTGTGATTCAAGCACTAGATGTTTTTGACATTTGAAGATTACTTGGTTCTTTGGGCAATTTTCTCGTTTGCCTTCAAAAAAATGCCTGCAGTTCTCTATTTCATCCGGTGGAAAGGTGAGGCCCAGGATGCATGTAATGAACTGATGGCACTGTGAGGCACTGGGCCCGGTGAACTCGCAGGGTGTAGCTGAGATACAAGGTGTTTTCTACTAAAAGGATCAAGGCAGCTCCTCGACCTCACATTGGGGATCATTTGTACTGAAGATAATTCTTCAGCGGAGTCGTGCTGGCACTGAGTTAGCCAGATGAGCTGATCTCCATGCTGAAGCCAACCATGGGGCCAGCCATTTCCATCCTGACTGCCCACATGCTGTGTGATCCATTTTCTTTGTGGCAGAGGGCTGGTCACTGCAGACCCATGGACACGGGTGTCACCATATGGTCACTCCAGACATGGACGTGGGTTTCATAATATCATCCTTTCTACTCCACTGAGCCAGGACTGCCATCACCGGGCAGAGGTTAATTGAAAATTCATGTAACTATCCGCTCATTTATTAAGACCCACCTCCTTTTCTTCCCTCTCCCAATGCCTCTCTAATGCCAAAATGAGTCTCCACCCCTGGGGAGAGACGGGAGAAAGAACAACCTGCTCCCCACCTTGAAAGAAACCATTGACTTCATGGAAAAAACCACAGATTCATGGCCCTGCAGTGTTTGTCTTGGAATGTTTGTTCATTTTCCCATTTGTTCCCTTTGTAAGCTGTGCATCTGTCCCCACCAAGCCCGGTGCTCTGAAGGTGGCATCGATGGCCCTGAGTTTGTCCCTAGCTCCCGCCCTTCCTTTGTAATGTGTCCCTTCTTCCCCCACGGGTGCGGTGGGAGGCCCGTGCACCCTGCTGTGGGGTAAGGTGGCATCAGGCACAGAGAGAGTGACCCGGGGTTGTCTTTGGTCACTCACAAGGTAATTTCACTTGGCAAATGATTGGAAAAGAGGCTGCTGTTCTCACAGACGTCTGTGAACCCCATGCCTGAGCTTCTTAGCCCTCCTAGCTGTGCTGTTCCCCAGATGGAGTCCATTCCATTAAAGGACTGGAAAACAGAACTCTTGAAGACAGGATAAAGGATTAGGGATAATTTCATTTCAGAAGAAAGAGGCTGAGGAGGGACTTAATTGTCTTTGAAGGATCCTCCTGTGGAGGACAGAGATGAGTTGTTCTCCATCTCACTGAGCGAGAGGAGACAAAGTGGATCTCAAATGAATGTGCAAAGCTTCCTGTGAGCTGGGGCCGGCCCCCTGCAGGGAAGGTTCAGGGAGACTGGGCAGACAGAGTGGGTGGCACTAGGGGCTGTGGGGGCCGCGCAGACGGATGTGTTTGTGCGGCGGGGTGGGAGGGATGCTGTGGGAGAAAGAGATGTCTCCATCCCGTCTCAGAAAGGAAATTGTTAAAAGCAAGAAATTAACAGACAGTGAGTAGGAGAGACCCCCAGTGGCAGGGGAAGCAGGTGTGGAGTGGGTTCAGGCTGGCTGGGTCCTGCAGACTGGGTGGAAAGCATGTCAGCTGAAGTACAGAGGTCACACAGGGAGAGCAGGAGGGGCCCATGGGGCTGGAGAGCTCAATTTGAGCCTCTTTCCCCCAAAGGTATGGGGACCCACTGGAGATCCTTCAGCCAGGGAGTGACCCATGATGGGGCTTCTCATTCTGGTGTGTTATCCCTTGACAATGGGGGAAGCCACATAGCATAGCCCCAAATGCCCGTCTACAGATCCTTGCCGGTCTCAGACTGGTCTGCAGCAAACAGAGGAAAATACTGACACCATGCAGTGAGTTTTTCATAGAACTAAATGCATTGCATTTAAAGTGCTGTCCTTATTCTGAGACTGTGTTCTATCATCCAAGATTCTTTGTAGCAAGCAACAGAAACCAATCCTGGGTAATTGAAACAGAAAAGGAATTTATTAAAAGGATATTAGTCAGCCCAGAGTCTCCAGGGTAGTTGGAGAACCAGGCTCAGAGGCCACATGGCCAGGAATGACAACAGTCATACCCAGATCAGGCCCCACAAGGCCCCACAGCTGCCCTGCTGGTCAGACCTCCAGTTGGTCCAGAACAGCACCACCAAGCTTCCAAAAGTGGGTGCTGCAAATGCTGCAGTTCTGCGCTCTCCCCACTCCTATGGGTCACCAGTTTCTGATATAAAGTGTGTGTCGGTGCGTCCTGTTGGTGGAGCAAGGGAGGTAAGTGAATTTGCCATTTTCAGCTTCTATAATGCAAGACGGGCTTAGCTTCCACAGCAAGGCAGGGGCTTAGCTGTGTCTTAGCTTCCTAGACACAAGGCAGGGGCTCAGGTGCTGAGAACCTGCCCAGGAAGGAAAGGTGTTTCTTCTCTGTCTCTTTGAGTGTCTGTGCATGTGTGAATTTTAAAAACGTTCTTTCTTTTGTGAAGCGAAGGTGATTAGGTTGTTTGATGTTTAAAGCATTATTGTTACTTGGCAGAATATGAAGTTGGAAAGCTATTATTTGTTCCCACAAGTTTTGGAGGTTTAGTAGTCCATGAAATCCAAAAGACTAGGACTTTAGTGCCAGACAGGCTGGGCCTCAATCCCAGAGCTGCCCCTTACTAATCAAGTAGCTTTGCATGAAGGTTTCTGAGGTCCTGTTTTGTTGTTGTTGTTTTTTAAATCCCCTTAGTCTGTTTATGTATCCTTAGATCTAAAGGTAGTCTTTTTATTTTTTTTTTTGACATAGACTCTCACTCTGTTGCCCAGGCTAAAATGCAGTGGCACGATCACAGCTCACTGCAGCCTTAACCTCCTGGGCTCAGGCGATCCTCACACCTTAGCCTCCTGTATAGCTGGGACCACAGGTGTGCACCACCACACCCTGTATATATTTTTTAATTTTTTTGTAAAAGATAGTAATACTCACTGCTCAGAGTTGCAGTGAGCAGTGAATAAGAAGACATGGGTGAAGTGTGTAATCAATAGCTGATAAGAAATTGGTGACACTATTGGGTTGAGGGGTCGACATTGATCAAAACAACTTTCTAGAGGCAGATCCTAAATCATGCAGAGTGGCTTAGAATCTGTTCTTGTGCCTGCTGGAGTTACACCTTCATGGCAACAAGCACCTGAGGGCACAGTGATAACATCCCGAGAGCCTGGGGAGTCTTGTGTATTTCTTCTCTGCTAACACTTGTATGCTGGAAAGAAGCTGTTGTATTCTGAAACACTGATGCATCCCAAGTTCAGAAGCCCTGACCTCACAGAGCTCCACTTCTAGAAAAACACCTAGGGTAATCCAAGCCCCGCCCTCTGATGGGACTGGATGTCTTGCAGCTGCGGTTTGGTGGGCATTTTCCCTCTTTGTCTCCCTCCCTCCTCTCTCAGAATGGACAGGACAGGCTGTGTTGTCCTCTGCAGGTCCATGCCTCAGTTTCTTCATCTAGCAAAAGGCAAGTGATACACCAAGGTCACCAGGGCAGTGAGTTGGTGGCAGAACCGGGACTCAAGTCCAGGGTCTCTTCATGCAAATGTAAGAGATGCTATGTGGTGGTGCAGTCTTGGGCTGGAGGGACTCAGCCCTTTTTTGCCTGTGAGGTTCACATCACCCTGTCTTTTGAGCTGTTCTCATCTCTCTGTCAATAGATCCATTGTCTATGATTTACTGAAACTCTTCCTGGAGAAGCTGCATTTTATCCATTGCTGCCTATCGGGTAAAGAGGGTGTCTAGTGTGTTGCCAGCTAAATAAACATGGTGGCCTTCCTGGCCACGTTCCCTTTTTCTGCCCCTCCTGGGGCTCCATCTTTGTTCTCACTGTACACATTCTCTCTTCAGTATTGTTATGGGCTCCCTAAAACAATGGTTCCCAAATCCGTATCTTCAGTACTGACCCCACTGCTGACTGTGAGACCCATAACACCAGCTCACTAAGGGCCATCTCCCCTGGATACTCCACAGGCACCTCCATTTGAGCCCTTCTGAAGCTGATCTCAAGCCTCTTTTCCCAACCCCAGCCCAAATCTCTTCCTCCACCTGGGTTCCTATCTCATGGCCCTGACAGAAGCCTGGGAGCCTTCCTGAATACTCTTCCTTCCACCCCCAACATAGAGCTGTTCCCCGGGGCCATCAGCCTTCTTCTCTTCATTGCCTCTGTCCTCTCTCTCCATTGCCACCAAGACCCCTGCTTGGTTCAGGCTCCATCCTCTCTTAAGGGATTTGACAGCAACCTTTTAACTCATCTCCTGGCCTCTGAGCTTTTCCCTGCCCATTCATTCTCCATCCAGAGCCAGGGCACCAATTCTATCCTGACAGCCTTCTGCTAGAGCCATGGCTTAGAGATCTCATTTGGGGATACACGTTTGTTGTGTGGCCATCATGTGTGGCTGCATGGAGTGACCGAAGTGAATCATCTGCCTGCAAGCGTTTACACTCAGGTGAGCACAATTCACATACTCCTTGGCTTAGCACATGTCACCAAACTTACATACGTCGAACCTCGAGCTTTAGGTACCTTGTCTTGATCCTGGCAACAGTGCCATGCAGTACGCACTGCGCGATCCCCACTTTCCTGATGGAGACACTGAAGCAGACGGAAATGAAGTCGTTTGTCCAGGTGAACAGAGCAAGTCAGTCGTGGATGGAGGCTCTGTACCCAGGCAGCCTTGACCCTGGGATTTTCATTTTTATCACTGCATTGTCTCTCCTCCAGCCTCACCTTTCTCTCCCCTCCAGCCTCACTTTTCTCTGCTCTTTTCCTGTCATAGACCCTTTAGAGCTCTGCTGAAGTGCTTGCAGTTCTCCCAACACCGTGGGCTTGTTCAGCCTGGATTTTTAGCCTTGAGTTTCTTCTCCCTAGAACCTTTACTGCCACCACGACCCCCACCCTCTACTGAGGCTGTGTCCAGTGTGGTCAGAGAGACCATCTGGGTCTCTTTCTTTTTGGTGCCCTGTAGCATAACATCGTCTCCTGTCATATTCTGTCCATCGCCCTGGAGTAGTTTGTTCATCTTTCCCCTCAGCTAGATTGTGATTTCCTTGAGGGCAGGGTCTGTCTTGCTCATTTCTGTCCCCGAAGCCCAGCACAGTCCCTGGCATATTGTAGACACGCTGTAAGTGTTTGTTGAAAGAGTGAATGAATCCAGACACACCTTCCACTGTGGGGTCCTGCCCTCTCACTGCGGCAGTGGGCTTTCCAAACTGAAGAGGCCTTGTGCTTCCACCTGCCCTCCTGCCTGACTCCCCACCCCATCCTACCTGGACCCCGCCATGGAGCCAGGGCCTGATCCTTGGTCTTTGTTGCTTTGTCAGCCCTTGGTGATGGAGTGGGCATGGGCACTGTAAGGAACCCCCCTTGGGAGGGTGTCCCAAGGCTGGCAATCCCTAGCTGGGTCTGGGGGCAGATCCTTCCTGACTCCCACCCCCGTCCAAGCAATTTGTGGCCTATGTAGGCTCCACATAGGCATCTCGGAGGGACCTGCAGACCCAGTGCTTTGGTTTTGAAATGTTAGGCTTCAGCATGATTTAGTGCCCTGGCATTTCTGAGCTAGTTTACAGTAATCAGGCATTTGTTAATGCTCACTTTCTCCTCCACGGACTGTTGCTGACACAGGAATTTTCTTTGTTGATTAGATTTAGCCCTGTGCTAAACAGTAACCGGGGGAGGGTAGTAAGGGAAGCCTGGACGCCAGCAGTGATGGTAACCGGGGGCCCAGGGATGCTGGGGCCACAGCTTATGAACTTTGTTAGTGACTTAACCCCTCTGAGTCTCAGCTGTTTCATCTGTGAGTCAGGGATAACCTTACCCAATACGCTGGGGTTACTGTGAGGATTAAAAAAGAAAGACTACAGAGCATTGTGTTTGACTCACAG